>NC_000013.11:80547875-80700715 GCF_000001405.40 Homo sapiens | reverse complement strand
ATGGAACCAAGAAAGAGCCTGCACTGCCAAGTAAATCCTAAGCCAAAAGAACAAAGCTGGAGGCATCACGCTACCTGACTTCAAACTATACTACAAGGCTACAGTAACCAAAACAGCATGGTACTGGGACCAAAACAGAGATATAGACCAACGGAACAGAACAAAGCCCTAAGAAATAATACCACACATCTACAACTATCTGGTCTTTGACAAACCTGAGAAAAACAAGAGATGGGGAAAGAATTCCCTACTTAATAAATGGTGCTAGGAAAACTGGCTAGCCACATGTAGAAAGCTGAAACTGGATCCCTTCCTTATATCTTATACAAAAATTAATTCAAGATGGATTAAAGACTTAAATGTTAGACTTACAACCATAAAAACCCTAGAAGAAAATCTAGGCAATACCATTCAGGACACAGGGATGGGCAAGGACTTCATGTCTAACACACCAAAAGCAATGGCAACAAAAGCCAAAGTTGACAAATGGGATCTAATTAAACTAAAGAGCTTCTGCACAGCAAAAGAAACTACCATCAGAGTGAACAGGCAACCTACAGAATGGGAGAAAATTTTTGCAATCTACTCATCTGACAAAGGGCTAATATCCATAATCTACAAAGCACTCAAATTCACAAGAAAAAAACAAACAACCCCTTCAACAAGTAGGCGAAGGATATGAACAGACACTTCTCAAAAGAAGACGTTTATGCAGCCAAAGACACATGAAAAAATGCTCATCATCACTGGCCATCAGAGAAATGCAAATCAAAACCACAATGAGATACCATCTCACACCAGTTAGAATGGCAATCATTAAAAAGTCAGGAAACAACAGGTGCTGGAGAGGATGTGGGGAAACAGGAACACTTTTACACTGTTGGTGGAACTGTAAACTGGTTTAACCATTGTGGAAGTCAGTGTGGCGATTCCTCAGGAATCTAGAACTAGAAATACCATTTGACCCAGCCATCCCATTACTGGGTATATAGCCAAAGGATTATAAATCATGCTGCTATAAAGACACATGCACACGTATGTTTATTGCAGCACTAGTCACAACAGCAAAGACCTGGAATCAACCCAAATGTCCAACAATGATGGACTGGATTAAGAAAATGTGGCATATGTACACCATGGAATACTATGCAGCCATAAAAAATGATGAGTTCATGTCCTTTGTAGGGACATGGATGAAGCTGGAAACCATCACTCTTAGCAAAATATCGCAAGGACAAAAAACCAAACAGTGCATGTTCTCACACATAGGTGGGAATTGAACAATGAGAACACTTGGACACAGGAAGGGGAAAATCGCACAATGGGCCTGTTGTTGGGTGGGGGGAGGGGGGAGGGGGGAGGGATAGCATTAGGAGATATACCTAATGTAAATGACAAGTTAATGTGTGCAGCACACCAACATGGCACATGTATACATATGTAACAAATCTGAACGTTATGCACATGTACCTTAGAACTTAAAGTATAATAATAAAAAAAAGAAAAAAAAGAAAATGTCATAGCTCTATAATTACATCATCTTTTATTAATGTGTTATTTACACTAAAAACAACTAATATAATCTACTTATTTCATGAAAAATAACAATCACAAAATCAAGATTTGACCCCTAATTAAATATAATGCAATGCAATATACAATGGGGCAAAAAACCCATGAGTTGACTAAATGAATAACGATGCTTTATTAGCTAAATTTGTGCCAAAAATATAATCTTTTTTTTATTGTAAGAGTTTTTCAAAGAAGTAATAACTATTATTCTTGATTTATACATCTTATCAAGAAGTTTGATTTTGGAGCTGTCCCAATTTCTTAAGTATAGTCACAATATACAAGGCATGGTAGAATTACTTTAAAAATCAGATATTCTGAGGTGTATTAATGACATCATATCAGCCTGAAGCTATTTCAGCTTGAGGGCTATAAGTGACTTTTCTCTCATCCCTTTGGCTATGAGTTTTCTAGTGTGCAGGAAGATAAATGCTGTCCTGAGTATGGTAGTGTCCAAGAGATAATAAAAATCAAGAAAAGTGTTTTTTAAAAAAGTTATCCGCTATTATTTTTCTTTCATAACAAATATAACTATGGTGAAAAGTGAATAATTTACTTACTAAATTTATAGTCTAATTTACATAGGGCCAAATATTAACATATGAGCTCCACTTTCACTCCAAAGTTATCATAGAAATTCAATTTAAATGACACTGAAGAAATGGGCTGCTTTGTTTTTTGCACTCTTTCAGTAGAGAAAATATCAGGATTTACTATTTCTATGTAACTGAGAATTTAGTTTTATTCTTAATTAACCATCACTAATAGAATGGCCCTAAAATTGTGATTTTTTTTCTTTTTTTTAAAAAAAGGGTCTTACAAAGAATGGACCTCTCTTCAGTTTTAGAAGCTAATAGAAATAGTCAGCTTTTTGAACTATTTCTGGCAGGGTGATCAATCTACTATACAGTGAATTTCCATCAATACTAAAAATTTCAGTATATCTGGAATTTTAATTTTTGACTATGTAAACAAATGAGTTGACTTAAATTCTCTAGAATCAAAAGTCTTCTATGGAAAAGGCAGTATTGCATTGCAGTTTAGAACTTAAAACTTTGGAGTTAAATCTAAATTGAATCGTATTTCCACCACTTCCTAGCTGTGTATACACTTAGCCAACTTCCATAAGCCCCATATATTTACTATTCTCATCTGTAAAATTGGACAATAACATCTTGGGTCACTGGGAGAGTAAAAATGAGATAATTTTGTTTAAATGCTTAGCATGGTGATTGGCACAAATGATCAACAGTTACTTTTATTCGTAGAACAAATAAATTACTTTTGTAAAAATAAATTTGACTTATTATTTGGGTTTTCTGTGCAAAATATAAACTACCACGTGTGGTTTAGATAACAACAATATTAAGCGGTATGCCCTGTCTTTTTTTCTAATGGAGGTGTGAAAGAAATACTCAAGTGACTGTGTTGCTGGTGGGAAAAAGCGTATCATTTCCTGGGGTCTTCAGGGTACAGTTGTGCTCAAAATTAAACACTTCTAGGGATTATGCTGTGACCCTTTTAATATGTGCTTTTAATTTTTTTCATTTCTTAATACTCTTTTTTCTATACTCAATGGTGCAAGCTTCTGGTTTTCTACTGGCTCCTTATTTAAGAATGTGAAAACATCCAGATATTTGAGAGGGTAGAAGTGGAAATTAGGAATGCCTAAACAAACTCTAAAAGAAGAATTTTAGCAGTATTAATTTATTGGCTTTATCAATTAATTGGTATTATGGCTACTATCCTAACTACTTGAATCCCTACTTGGTCAATAACAAATATTATGAAAATATCTAAGCTTTTCTTCTGGCCTATAAAATTTAAAAAATTAGCAAAACATATCACGTTGAAGACATTCATTTTTCACAGAGAGCAGTGAAGGCATTTCTCTATTTCCTTTCCCCCATCCTACCCTAGGATTGCTCTGCAGTATTCATGTGTTAGTATAGGTCAACAAAAAGCACTATACTTGTGTTCACCTGTTTAAAATGATGTTAATACACTTAATGCTATAAAAAAAAAAAACCAAAAAGGTTCGATAGGTACATTCACCCTCATGAAGAAGTTGTTTAGGTGCAACACTGTAAACAAAATCTAAATAAATGCAACAATTTTCATCTTAGCAGATTGGTGAAAAATGTTATTCTTTTGATTATAGTTACTTTTGTCCCTGTGCCTTGAACACACTGAACAGCATCTTACTCTATAAACTGCTAGCCCTTAATGTGGTGGTCTAAATTTTATTTTTTCTTTTTTATTGCTAACTGATTATTACTATCATTGAGGAAAGTTATTGGTTTCTACATATTTATTATGTATTCTGCTATGATATATAATGTCTTATAAATTTTAAATATGAGTAATAGCTTTTCTTCATATAAACTTCAAAATATTTCTAAGAGATTTTTATAGGTATGTAACAATATACAAAATTTAAAATAATCCTTATATCTGATTTATATTACTTCATTTTCTTGTATTATTGTTAGATATAACTTCAAAAACAATTCAATTTGTACAGCCTGCTTTATACCATTAATATTTATTAAGTTAATTACTATAGGTTTGTAGTAGTTTTAACATAATGTTTATATACTTTTGTTATATTTTTCTTTATATAGACTTTTGTTTAAAATGCAGAAAGGCTACCAAGTTTTTCCAAATTCTTTTTGTTGTTGTTGTTTCAAGAGATATAGATGCATTGCTTTATTCTAATTTGTTCCTGAAATGAATTACTATGAGTGATTTGCTAATATTAGGTAATCATTGAAAAGCTAATAAGCTAAACTCTTTGTATGTACTGCAATCAAACATAAAGAATAAAAACCTTTTGGGTTTTCTTACTCTCTTAGGTGCTGTTAACTGTCTCCTTTCTCCTCATGGATTAGCTCCTCAGAAATAGCAAACTCCTCCTTTGCTGCCAGACTCCAAGAATTCAGCATATCTGTGTGCGTTATCTGGCTTCACAAGTAGCCTCCATGTGAGTGGACTAGGCAGCCTGTAAAGTGAAGGGGAGTTTGTCCCTATGGGGTGAGAATGAAACAATAGGAAACTTCTTATGACAGACAGTAAAGCAGATAAATACCTCCCCATTTTTCCCTTCTGTTAACTACTCTTCCATAAACTTTGGTGAATTCCTGCATACCACAGGTCTGTTGAGGGACTTTCTATGCCTCTGCAGTAGATTGAGGAGCAGTTACCAGCACAGTAATGCAATGCATTCCATTCTTTTTCATCTTTCCTTGCTTCCCTTAACTGCTCTTGAATTGCATCCTCTAAATAAATCAAATCCTTACCTTTATACTTGCCTCAGGGTCTGCTGCTTAGAAATAACTAAGGTATTTCCTGTGTATTATTAGCATTATTCTGACAAAAAGTAGCATATCAGGGTTTATTTTTTATTTTAATTATACTTTAAGTTCTGGGATACATGTGCAGAATGTGCAGGTTTGTTACATAGGTATACACGTGCCATGGTGGTATGCTACACCTATCAACCTGTCATCTACATTAGGTATTTCTCCTAATGCTATCCCTCCCTTGCCCCTCCACCCACCGACAGGCTCTGGTGTGTGATGTTCCCCTCCCTGTGCCCGTATGTTCTCATAGTACAACTCCAACTTATGAGTGAAAACATGCGGTGTTTGGTTTTCTGTTCCTGGGTTAGTTTGCTGAGAATGATGGTTTCCAGCTTCATCCATGTCCCTGCAAAGGACATGAACTCATTTTTTTATGGCTTCATAGTATTCCATGGTGTATATGTGCCAAATTTTCTTTATCCAGTCTATATTGATGGGCATTTGGGTTGGTTCCAAGTCTTTGCTATTGTGAATAGTGCTGGAATAAACATACGTGTGCATGTGTCTTTATAGTAGAATGATTTATAATCCTTTGGGTATATACCCAGTAATGGGATTGCCGGATCAAATGGTATTTCTGATTATAGATTCTTGAGGAATTGCTATACTGTTTTCCACAATGGTTGAATGAATTTACATTCCCACCATCAGTGCAAAAGCGTTCCTATTTCTCCACATCCTCTCCAGCATCTGTTATTTCCTGACTTGTTAATGACTGCTATTATAACTGGCATGAGATGGTATCTCATTGTGGTTTTGATTTGCATTTCTCTAATGACCAGTGATGAGCTCTTTTTCATATGTTTGTTGGCTGCCTAAATGTCTTCCTTTGAGAAGTGTCTGTTCATGTCCTTCACCCACTTTTTGATTGAGTTGTTTTTTTCTCATAAATTTGTTTAAGTTCCTTGTAGATTCTGGATATTAGCCCTTTGTCAGATGCATAGATTGCAAAAATTGTCTCCCGTTCTCTATGCCTATTCATTCTGATGATAGTTTCTTTTCCTGTACAGAAGCTCTTTAGTTTAATTAGATCCCATTTGTCAATTTTGGCTTTTGTTGCCATTGCTTTTGGTATTTTAGTCATGAAGTCTTTGCTCATGCCTATGTCCTACATAGTATTGCCTGGTTTTCTTCTAGGGTTTTTATGGATTTAGGTCTTACGTTTAAATTTTTAACCCAGCTTGAGTTAATTTCTGTATAAGGTGTAAGGAAGGGGTCCAGTTTCAGTTTTCTGCATATGGCTAGCCAGTTTTCCCAACAACATTTATTAAATAGGGAATCCTTTCCCCATCTCTTGTTTTTGTCAGATTTGTCAAAGATCAGATGGTTGTAGATGTGTGGTGTTATTTCTGAGGCCTCTGTTCTGTTCCATTGGTCTATATATCTGTTTGGGTATCAGTACTATGCTGTTTTGGTTACTATAGCCTTTCAGTACAGTTTGAAGTCAGATAATGTGATGTCTCCAGGTTTGTTCTATTTTGCTTAGGATTTTCTTGGCTATATGGGCTCTTTTTTGGTTCCATATGAAATTTAAAGTTTTTTTTTACAATTCTGTGAAGAAAGTCAATGGTAGTTTGATGGGAATAGCATTGAATCTATACATTACTTTGGGCAGTATGGCCATTTTCATGATATTGATTCTTCCTGTCCATGAGTATGGAATGTTTTTCCATTTGTTTGTGTCCTCTCTTATTTCCTTGAGCAGTGGTTGTAGTTCTCCTTGAAGGGGTCCTTCACATCCCTTGTAAGTTATATTCCTAGGTATTTTATTCCCTTTGTAGTAATTGTGAATGGGAGTTTGCTCATGATTTGACTCTCTGTCTATTATTGGTGTACAGGAATGCTTGTGATTTTTGCACATTGATTTTGTATCATGAGACTTTATGCTAAAGTTGCTTATCAGCTTAAGGAGATTTGGGGCTGAGACAATGGGGTTTTCTAAATATATAATCATATCATCTGCAAACAGAGATAATTTGACTTCCTCTCTTCTTATTTCAATACCGTTTATTTCTTTCTCTTGCCTGATTTCCCTGGCCAGAACTTCCAATAGTATGTTGACTAGGAGTGGTGAGAGAGGGCAACCTTGTCTTGTGCCGGTTTTCAAAGGGGGTGCTTCCAGCTTTTACCCATTCAGTATGATATTGGCTGTGGGTTTATCATAAAAATAGCTCTTATTTTGAGATATCTTCCATCAGTACCTAGTTTATTGAGTGTTTTTACCATGAAGTGATGTTGAATCTTATCAAAGGGCTTTTCTGCCTCTATTGAGATAATCACGTGGTTTTTGTCATTGGTTCTCTTTATGTCATGGATTACATCTATTGATTTGCATACATTGAACCAGGCTTGCCTCCCAGGGATGACGCCAACTTGATCATGGTGGATAAGCTTTTCAATGTGCTGCTGGGTTGAGTTTGCCAATATTTTATTGAGGATTTCTGCATCGATGTTCATCAGGGATATTGGCCTGAAATTTTCTTTTTTATTGTGTCTCTGCCAGGTTTGGTATAAGAATTATGCTAGCCTCATAAAATGAGTTAGTGAGGAGTTCCTCTTTTTCTGTTTGGAACAGTTTCAGAAGGAATGGTACCAGCTCTTCCTTGTACCACTGGAAGAATCTGGCTGTGAATCCATCTGGTCCTGAGCTTTCTTTAGATGGTGGGCTATTAATTACTACCTCAATTTCAGAACTTATTATTGGTCTATTCAGGGATTCAACTTCTTCCTGATTTAGTCTCGGGAGGGTGTATGTGTCCAGGAACTTATCCATTTCTTCTAGATTTTCTAGTTTGTTTGTGTAGAGGTGTTTATAATATTCCCTGATAGTAATTTGTATTTCTGGGGGATCAGTAGTGATCTCCCCTTTATCATTTTTCTTGTGTCTATTTGATTCTTCTCTCTTTTCTTCTTTATTAGTCTGGTTAGCGATCTATGTATTTTGTTAATTCTTTCAAAAAACCAGCTCCGGGATTCATTGATTTTTTGAAGGGTTTTTCGTGTCTATGTCCTTCAGTTCTGCTGTAATCTTGATTATTTCTTGTCTTCTGTTAGCTTTTGAACTTGTTTGCTCTTGCTTCTCTAGTTCTTTTAATTGTGATGTTAGGGTGTCGATTGTAGATCTTTCCTGCTTTCTCCTGTGGGCATTTATTGCCATAAGTTTCACTCTAAACACTGCTTTAGGTGTGTCTCAGAGATTCCGATACATTGTGTCTCTGTTCTCACTGGTTTCAAAGAACTTATTTACTTTGCCTTAATTTCGTTATTTACTCAGTAGTCAGTCAGGAGCAGGTTGTTTAGTTTCCATATAGTTGTGTGGTTTTGAGTGAGTTTCTTAATCCTGAGTTCCAACTTGATTGCACTGTGGTCTGAAAGATTGTTATAATTTCCATTATTTTGCATTTGCTGAGTAGTGTTTTACTTCCAATTATGTGGTCAATTTTAGAATAAGTGTGATGTGATGCTGTGAAGAATGTATATTCTGTTGATTTGAGGTGGAGAGTTCCATAGATGTCTATTAGGTCCGCTTGGTCCAGAGCTGAGTTCAAGTCCTGAATATCTTTGTTAATTTTCTGTCTCATTGATCTGTCTAATATTTACAGTGAGGTGTTAACGACACCCACTATTATTGTGTTGGAGTCTAAGTCTCTTTGTAAGTCTCTAAGAACTTGCTTTATGAATCTGGGTGCTTCTGTATAGCTCTTCTTGTTGCATTGATCTCTTTACCATTATGTAATGCGCTTCTTTCCCTTTTATCTTTGTTGGTTTAAAATCTGTTTTATCAGAGACTAGGATTGCAACTCCTGCTTTGTTTTGCTTTCCATTTGCTTGATAAATATTCCTCCATCCCTTTATTTTGAGCCTATGTGTGTCTTTGCACATGAGATAGGTCTCCTAAATACAGCACACCAATGGGTCTTGACTCTTTATCCAATTTGCCAGTCTGTGTCTTTTAATTGGGGCATTTGGCTCATTTACATTTACGGTTAATACCATTATGTGTGAATTTGATCCTGTCATTATGATGCTAGCTGGGTATTTTGCCCATTAGTTGATGCAGTATCTTCATAATGTTGATGGTCTTTACATTTTGGTTTGTTTTTGCAGTAGTTCATACCAGTTTTTCCTTTCCATATGTAGTGCTTCCTTCAGGAGCTCTTGTAAGGCAGGCTTGGTGGTGACAAAATTCCTCAGCATTTGCTTTTCTGTAAACGATTTTATTTATCCTTCCACTATGAAGCTTAGTTTGGCTGGATATAAAATTCTGGGTTGAAAATTCTTTTCTTTAAGAATGTTGAACATTGGCCCCCACTCTCTTCTGGCTGGTAGGATTTATGCAGAGAGATCTGCTGTTAGTCTGATGGGTTTGTGGGCAATCCAACCTTTCTCTCTGGCTACCCTTAACATTTTTTCCTCATTTCAACCTTGGTGAATCTGACGACTATGTGACTTGGGGTTGCTCTTCTCAAGGAGTATCTTTGTGGTGTTCTCTGTATTTCCTGAATTTGAATGTTGGCCTATCTTGCTAGGTTGGGGAAGTTCTCCTGCATACTATCCTGAAGTGTGTTTTCCAACTTGGTTCCATTCTCTCCATCACTTTCAGGTACACCAATCAAATGTAGGTTTGCTCTTTCTACATAGGCCTATGTTTCTTGGAGGCTTTTTTTCATTCCTTTTCATTCTTTTTTCTCTAATCTTGTCTTCACACTTTATTTCATTAAATTGATCTTTAATCTCTGATATCCTTTCTTCTACTTGATCAATTCAGCTATTGATACTTGTGCATGCTCCATGACATTCTTGTGCTGTGTTTTTCAGCTCCATCAGGTCATTTATGTTCTTCTCTAAACTGGTTATTCTAGTTAGCAATTCCTCAAACCTTTTATCAACATTCTTAGCTTCCTTGCCTTGGGTTAGAACATGCTCCTTTAGCTCAGAGGAGTTTGTTATTACCCAGCTCCTGAAGCCTACTTCTGTCAATTAGTCAAACTCATTCTCCATCCAGTTTTGTTCCCTTGCTGGTGAGGAGCTGTGATCCGTTGGAGGAGAAGAGGCATTCTGGTTTTTGGAATTTTCAGCCCTTTTGCACTGGTTTTTCCTCATCTTCGTGGATTTATCTACCTTTGGTCTTTGCTGTTGGTGACCTTTGAATGGAGTTTTTGTTTGGTCAAACTCTTTTTTTTTTGATGTTGATGCTATTGCTTCTGTTTGTTAGTTTTTCTTCTAACAGGCCCCTCTTCTGCAGGTCTACTGCAGTTTACTGGGCGTCCACTCCAGACCCTGTTGCCTGGGTAGCACCATCGGAGGCTGCAGAACAGCAAAGATTGCTGTCTGCTTGGGAAGCACCACCAGAGGCTGCAGAACAGCAAAGATTGCTGCCTGCTCCTTCCTCTGGAAGTTTTGTCCCAGAGGGGCACCCAACAGATGCCAGCTGGAGCTCTCCTGTATAAGCTGTCTGTCGATCCCTGCTGGGAGGTGTCTCTCCATCAGGAGGCTCAGGGATCAGGGACACACTTGAGGAGGCCATCTGTCCTTTATCAGAGCTTGAGCATTGTGCTGGGAGATCCACTGCTCTCTTCAAAGCTGACAGGCAGGAAAGTTTAAGTCTGTTGAAGCTGCACCCACAACTGCACCTTCCCCCAGGTGCTCTGTCCCAGAAAGATGGGAATTTTATCCATAAGCCCCTGACTGGGGCTGCTGCCTTTCTTTTAGCAATGTCCTGCCCAGAGAGGAGGAATCTAGGGCGGTAGTCTGGCTACCACGGCTTTGCGGTGCTGTGGTGGGCTCTGCCCAGTCTGAACTTCCCAGTAACTTTGTTTACACTGTGAGAGGAAAACCACCTACTCAAGCCTCAGTAATGATGGATGCCCCTCCCCCCACAAAGTTCAAGCATCCCAGGTCAACTTTAGACTGCTGTGCTGGCAGTGAGAATTTCAAGCCAGTGGATCTTATCTTGCTGAGCTCTGTGGGGGTGGGATCCACTGAGCAAGACCACTTGACTCCCTGGCTTCAGCCCCTTTCCAGGGGAGTGAAGAGTTCTGTCTCGCTGGCATTCCAGGAACCACTGAGGTACAAAAAAAAAAAAACAAAACAAAACAAAAAAAAACTTCTGCAGCTAGCTTGGTGTCTGCCAAACAGTCACCCAGTTTTGTTCCTGAAACCCAGGGCTCTTGTGGTGTAGGCACATGGGCAGAGGTTGGAAGATTTTGGAGGGTTCAGAAGAAGACAGGAAGATGAGGGAAAGTTTGAAACTTCTTAAAGACTGATTCAATGGTTGTAATCAAAATACTGATAGTGATATGGACAATGAAGTCCAGGCTGAGGAGGTCTCAGACTGAAATAAGGAACTTATTGGGAACTGGAGCAGAGGCCACCCATGTTATGCCTTAACAAACAGCTTGATTGAATTCTGTTCATTACCTAGGGATCTGTGAAAGTTTGAACTTTAGAGTGATGACCTAAGGTATCTGGTGGAAGATACTTTTAAACAGCAAAGTGTCCAAGATGTGGCTTGACTGCTTCTAACCACCTATACACAGATGCAGGAGCAAATAAATAAGTTGGAACTTATATTTAAAGGGAAGTAGGGTGTAAATATTTGAAAAATTTGCAGCCTGGCCACGTGGTAAAAAAGCAAAGTCCATTTTCAGGGTAGAAATTCAAGCAGGCTTTGAAATTTGCATACCTAAAAAGGAAGCAAGTCTGATAGCCAAGACAATGGGAAATGGCCTCAAAGGCATTTAGGGGATCTAAGAGGCAGCCCCTTCCACCACATGCCCACAAGTTTAGGAAGACAGAATGGTGTCCTGGGCCAGGCCTGAAGCCCCACTGCCCTGTACAGCCTCAGGAAACTTCTCCCTGCATCCCAGACACTCCAGCTCCAGTCTCAGCTGTGGCTTAAAGGGCCCAGTTGCAACTCCAGCCACTGCTTCAGAGAGTGCAAGCTGTAAGCCTTGGAGACTTCTATGTGTTAATGTTGTGGGTGTGCAGAATGCAAGAGATGAGGCATGGGAGCCTCCACCTAGATTTCAGAGGATATATCTGAAAAGCCTGGGTGTCCAGGCAGAAGCCTGCTGAGAGGGGTTGTGCCTTCACAGGAAACCTCTACTAGGGCAGTATGGAGTGGAAATGAGTGGTTGGAGCCCCCACACAGTGTCTTCACTGGGTCACTGCCTAGTAGAACTATGAGATGAAGGCCACCATCCTCCAGATCCCAGGGTGGTTGAGCCAATGGCACATCCATGTGCCCATGTGCCCTAGATGTGAGGCATGAAGTCAAAAGAGATTATTTTGGAGCTTTAAGTTTTGATGACTGCCCTGCTGGGTTTTGAACATGCATGGGGCCTGTCACTCCTTTCTCTTGGCTGATTTTGCCCTTTTGGAATAGGAATGTTTACTCAATGTCTATAACCTCATTGTATTTTGGAAGTAACTAGTTTCTTTTTTATTGTTGTTGTTTTTGTTTTTCTTACAGGCTCATAGGTAGAAGAGACTTGCCTTGTGTCAGATAAGACTTTAGACTTTGGACTTTTGAGTCAGTGCTGAAATAAGACTTTGGGGGACTACTGGGAAGGCATGATTGCATTTTGCAATGTGAGAGGCATATAAGCTTTGGGAGGGGCCAGAGGCCAAATAATACGGTTTGTATCTGTTATCTCACCAAATCTCAGGTTGAATTTGTAATCCCCAATGTTGGAGGTGGGGCCGGGTGAGAGGTGACTGGATCATGAGGGTGGCTTTCTCATGAATGGGTTAGCACCACCCCTTTCATTCCGTCTTCAAGATACTGAGTAAATTTTCACGAGATCTGGTTGTTTAAAGTGTGGGGGACCTCACTTTCACCCTCTTGCTCCTGCCATGTAAGATGTCAGTGCTCCCCCTTCAACTTCTACCATGATTTTAAGTTTCCTGAGGCCTCCCCAGAAGCTGAACAGATGCCAGCATCATGCTTTCTGTACAGCTTGAAGAACCATGAGCCAATTAATCCTCTCTTCTTAGTAAATTATCCAGTCTCAGGTATTTTTACAGCAATGCGAGAATGGACTGATATAATAACTAAATATCTATCAACGCAGGACTTATAAATAAATTATGGTACATCCATAAACTGGAACATCCCAGTTTGCATATAAAAGGATATGCTAATTTGGAAAGATCTCTAAGACATAGTAATTGAATAAAGCAAACTAGGTATAGTATGTATGATGAGATAGATATAAATTGTATTTATACTTGATTGAATTTACATAATTTCTGAAAGGAACATAAGAAACTAATAAAACATGTTTTTAGTTTGGGGCTGGTGCCAACTAATAGATGATATACTAGGGTAAGAGTGAGAGAACCATTTTTTTTTATTTTTGCACCAGTATAGCAAATAAATACAAAAAATTTTGTACATCACCTGTCATATTTCCTTAGTCTCTTAGTTGTCCCTTATCTTGGTATTTCTATTCTGTTTCTATTTTCATTTGGTGGTTGTAACTTGCCACATTCTTGGTGAGTAGAATATTTTCTGATTTCTGCATACCTCCCACATTTATTACCTATTGAAAAAATTAAATCAATAAAAATGAAATACATAATCTCCCTGACAGAAGTTTTTAACAATTTCTCACGTGCTCTCAAGGCATTCCTCACTTAACAATCACATCTAAGTTATATTAGACACCATGCTAAGTACTGGAAATACATAAAGCAAAAAGAGAGAGAAGAAGGGAGAAGAAGAAAAGAATGGAATCTCTGCTCTAAAGGAACTTGCATTCTAGTGTGCAAAGATATGTCAGGTAGCAATAATTTTTTAAATTAACTGTCTTGAAAATAATGCCATTTTAAAAAGCTTTGCAAATAAAGATAAATATAATAGAGCACTAAAAATGAGGATGTAGCTTGATTTGAAAGTAATCTTACTGTGACATAATTTACTCATAGATTAACTGGTTTGTCCATTGTCAGGTGGATGTCTTTCTTTTTTCTATTCCATGTGTGTCTGTTTCAGTTAAAAATGGGTAAGAATTTCTTTCTACATGAAGCTTCTTGGAACATTAAAAACATCTTGGAAATATTTAAATGCCAGAATTATTTGGAATTGACATTACTCAGAATAGTGTTGATCAATTACCATTGCCTTCTATCCTAGGAAGATGTATAGAGGAAATGATGATATCTTCTCTGATGTCTCCTAAAGTCTTCAAAACATCAATGTATCCTTCCAACCAATGTTTCCACCATGCTCTGAGGTTGATTGGCTGGTAAAATGGCCAATGCCAATGCTACCAGAGTTTAGGTCCTTTAAGAGAGACTGTTTTGTTGTTTTTTTCCATCCACTATAATTCTTGAAAATTTTCCTAACAGAGTAAGTTCAGCACTTTTTAAATGCCTTTAACCTTCTGAATCTCTAATTAGTATAGATATAGTTCCTCTTAAACATTTCAGTGAGTGAGTTTTCCTGACATATCTCCCTGGTATCTTTTACTTTAGCAGCTTAGTCCCTGATCTAATAACATAAAGAATCAAGAAAAACAAAATCATTAAGGGGAAATTCATATAGCGAGGAGAATATGAAAGAAATAAAGCTAGATCCTCTGAATGTCATTGACCTCTAGAAAGGAACTGAAACAGTGGGCCTGTGGGGTAGAACATAAGAAGGAGGAAGGGCCCTGAGAGGTAATTAGAGACAGGAAAGCAAAACCAGAAATAACTGGTCAATTCTTTTTCTACCTTCTGAAAATCATTATAAATGGTCTCTGTACCTTCAATAACCAGAGGTCCCTGCTCCTAAAGAATTTGTACTTAATTCCTTCATAGAAGGAACATTGGTAGGAATTAGTGTTTTATGCAAGCATCTTCTTGTTATATCCATTAAGCTTTGCCTGGAGAAAACTTTTGTTATGATTTGGACTCATTAGGGGTGTCTTGGGAAAAAAAATTATATAAAGTTTTGAGATTGGGTTTGTGAGTTTAGTATTCCACAACTCTCATGCACTAGGGGAGAATATATCTGCATTCTTCTCTACCTTAAAAATCACTAACCAGGTATCACAAATTCTTTATTGCATTATGATAGCCTATATACCAGAAAGGTGAAAAGGAGAAAGATTAAAATTATATTTTCACTGTGTTAACATTTAATCATTACTTCAAAATGCCAGTTTTAAAATTAACAGCTTTTCAAAAATAATTAATTACATGTTCTAGGCCAATAAATAGCTTTGAAAATTAAACATTTAACTGAAATCATATAGCTAATAGTTAATAAAGATAACATCATTTTTGTTTCCTTTGCTTACTGAATTTATTGTGATGTTAAAATTACTTGATTTGTGTAAATTATCCCTGCCCAGTCCTCTAGCAAAATTTGGAATGATTGTATAACTTAAATAATTTCTATATTAAAAATTTTAACTGTCTAATTCATCTAGCGAATATTATTTTATATAAATTTGTGAAACAAATGAAAAGTAAACAAATCGCAAGGCTCTAGATTTGCAAATAAGTCAATAAATAAAACTAAAGTAGAATCACACATTTATTTTCCTATCATGCTGGTTTGTTTTTGATGAATTCTATATTACTACAAGTCTCACAAGAGAATAAAATTTTTGAAATAAATACTGTAAAAATTCAGATTTTTTAAATGTGTGAGTTATTTGAGGTATATGTCCTCAATTTAAATAAATTAACTCCTTTCTTTTCCCCTGGCATTTTATGAAATTTAATGCACAAATATATGTGCATTCCAAAGTGTCAAAAGATTATTTTTATGTGTCAGAAGATTCAATCCATGCTTCTCTTAAAAATTTAGAACTTGTTTACTTCTAAGGCTGAGTGCATTTTAGAATAACTTTGTGTTAGCTACAAATAACAATCTTTTCAAGCCCTAGCAACCAAGCTCTGCCTCAGCAAAGGCCTTTGAAGAGTTTCTTTCACTGCCTTTGCCCCTCCCTCCTTCTGTACCCACCCAGGTCCTCAGCATCACAATTTCAAAAAGTAGAGGGGGAGGAAGGGAGGAAGGGAAGAAGAGAGGGAGAGAGGGAGGGAGGTAGGGAGTGAGGGAGGAAGGATGGATGGAAGGAAGGAAGGAAGGAAAACGTGGAGGGAGGGAGGGAAAGAAACTTGTTAAAAATGAGGTAGTTCAGTGTTTTATGGTTTAAAAGTATACGAAAGACAAATGTACACATTATCACCTACTTAACATGCAAGTTTGGGGATACAATACTTCAGCAAACAATAGGTTTATTGGTTATAAAGGCTCCAGTAGAAGTTTCTTGCCAGTGTGTGGCTTTTTCATGAAGAAAAGGGGGAAAAATGATTTGGAAATGAGCCACCTTTATTTTTAAATTCCCCAGTCAATATGTTGCCACAGCAACCAAAGTTCTTGCTATCTGGGAAAAGACAGATGTCTTTGCTTCAATCAAGATGCAAAGCTAGAGAAAAAAAAAAAGAAAAAAAAGCAATGAAAATACTTCATTTCATTATTTGAAAATGTGAATTGCCCTGAGCTGGCTTTGAGCCATAGTTCTTATCCACAGTATCCATCAACATGTATTCAAGTCCCTCAATATTGAATACTTCATTTTCATTAATGAAATAATTACATCAAATGCTGTCTCATAACATTCAGTTGAATTCATTCATTGTCAAAAATGTCATTCGATTTAAAATAGTTCACAGTATTATGCAGTTTATTGACAAATATGATGTTTAAATCTATTTAATAAGAGTGGTTGTGTCCAGAGGAAAGGAAAGATGAGAACCACAAAAGGTCTGCCAAGAAAAAGAACCAGAGAGCCTCCTTTATTTTAACATTGTTGTTGACCTATATGTGCTTATCCCTTAACCCTTGAATCTTAACTAAAATGAAAGTAAAGTAATTTTTGAATGCTTAAACTAACAAGAACAAAAAGGGTACAAGAAGAGACAACAGTAGACAAAAGATTACAACAAATTTTTGAATATGGGAAACAAGTAACAAGTGAATTAACAAAATCGAGATCTTTGGAAAAAATACTGAACAGTGAACAAATGTAGAGAGAATTACAGATAAACTCAAGAGTGAGGTCTAGAGAAAGCAGAATGCTGAGGCAGAAAATATAAAGAGATTCAGTCGAAACTGGGCTTCAAGAAAAGTCGGAGCTTTTAGCCCCTTTTCACCTACTGTGTGCTGGAGAGGAAAGGGAAATTTCATGCCTGAGACTTAGACAACAGGCAAATAAAGTAAAGATGAAGGGGTGGCTCAGCTCTAGAAATTAAAAAAAATATTAAAAATTTTGCATATTAGAGTCTACAATTTCCTTCCCCACCCTACCAGAACTCTCACTAAGAAGGATTCAACCTTCTGGATATAAACAATTTTTATCTGAAGAAATTGAAAACAAAAGCAGCACACACACACATTTTAGCATCATTCCAGTAGAAGAAATAGCTTGCCACCAAATCACCCAGAGGAGAATCCCACAAGTTAACAAACCCTTCTCACATGCAGAGTTCTCGATCCACGTTAACTTGTTGCATACTTCATCACACATAGCTTAAAGACTAAAGAAAGGGGCAGGACTAAATAAGAACTTAGATGAAATAAAGACATTGCTGGGCAAAGAATAAAAAGGTAAGTAAAACTATTGTTAATTACCTCGTAGAGAAAGAAGATACTAAAAAGAATTGAGAGCTATAAAATGGAACATCAAAGGTAATTAAGACTCCTGATAATTAAAAATATGCTATCCAAAATTTAAAAAGGAAACTGAAATAGACTACACAAAATCCTAAAAAGTGTTAACAGAAAAAGTTATAATAGAAAGTAAAAAGTTATAGAATTAGATGATCAGCCCACGTGCTCTAACTTCTAAATTATACATACAAAGAAATAGAGAAGCAAAAAGGGAAGAAATTATCAAAGAAAGAATACAACACATTTTCCCCCTGATTATTCTGGGCTTTCATTGAAAGTTCTTTCAATAAACAAACCCAAGCAAGGCATATTGTACATATTTCAAAACATCAGTTATTAAAAGATATCCTAAAAACTCACAAAGAGAAAAAATGAGAGATCACAAAACATCAGATAAGTGAATAACAGAATTCTCAACAGCAATACTACAAGTCAAATATACATGAACAGAAGAAACTAAAATTTATCTAGATAAACTGTTCATTTAATGTAAGAGTACAAAAAAGATATTTTCAGACATTGATGCAATAAAAAAAATATATTTTTCCATAAACACTTTCTTAGGAAGCTACTGGAAAATATACTCTTATAAAACAAACAAAGGAAAAAGAAGAACACTGTATTAGGGTTCTCCAGAGAATCAGAACCAATAGGTTATAGATAGATATATAGACATAGATAGAATACAGGTACAGATATATAGAAAGATATTTATAATAAGGAATTGACTCTCTTAATTATGGAGGCTGTCACATGATCTGCCTTCTGCAACCAGGAGACTCAGGAAAGCTGGTGGTGTAACTCTAAGAATAAGAGGGCCAATGATGTAAGTTCTGGTCCAAAGACAGAAGAAGACTGATGTCCCAGCTCAAGCAGTCAGGCAGAGATAGAAAAACATCTCCCTTCTTCTGCCCTTTTGTTCTATTCATGCCCTCAGTGGATTGGATGGTGCCTATTCTCACTTGTATTGTGAAGGGCAATTGGCTTTGCTCTCTACCACTTCAAATGCTCATATCTTCCAGAAACAGCCTCACAGGCAAACCCAGAAATAATGGTTAGCCAATTATCTTGGTAACCCTTGATCCAGTAAAGTGGAGACTAAAATTAAACATCACAAACACAAAACTCAGGAAACAGAATGCATCCTAAGAAAAAAGGAAGGAAAGTACTTCGTTAACGGGGAGTAGCAAATCTATCAAGAAAATTGTTTTTACTAGAGAGGTATACTGAAGATAGTGAGATGGAGATCTGTAGAAAAACAGTGGCAGCAACCTTAGATCTTCTAGAATGTATGTTTGTAGAATCTTTATTCATAATCACCCAAACTGGGGAAAAAAAAAGATGTCCTACAATGGGTGAATGAATAAACAAACTTTGGTACATCTATACAATGGAAAATTATTCAGTGGTCAAAAGAAATGCACTATCAAGCCACAAAGAGACATGGAGGAAACTTAAAGGCATATTACTAAGTGAACAAAGACAATCTACAAGGCTACATATGGTGTGATTTCAACTAACCCACATCCTGGATAAAACAATATTAAAGAGTTTGTCCGTCTGTGGTTGACAGAGGTTCAGGTGGAGTGGGAAGAGGGATGAATACATAGATGAAGCACAGGAGATTTTTAGAATGGGGAAACTATGCTGTATGATATTTTAATGCTGAATAAATGACATTATGCATTTGTAAAAACCATAGAAACTGTACAACACAGTGAAAGAAAACAATGTTAAACTACAGTTTTTCATTAATGATAATATATAATATTGGGTCATCAATTATAACAAATGAGCCACACTAGTGCAAGATGTTAAAAATAGGGGAACAGTGTGCAAGGGATATATGTGAGGTCTCTATACTTTCTGCTCAATTTTTCTGTACACTTAAAACTGTTCTAAAAAACAAAATCTTAATTAAAAAGTACAAGTTAAAAAATGAAATAAATAAATTTATAGAAAGTCATGCCAATAAAATATGATGCAAGAAATATATCTGAGTAATGAAGTGTTATTTATAAAAGGAATCATGATGATTGTTTGGGTCAAGAGTAAACTATGCATTCATTATTTATGAATGCATTCTGTTCTAGGTACTCTTCAATTGCTTAAGATATATTCGTAAACAAAACAATAAAACACTTTGTTCCTAAGGGGCTTAAGGTATAGTGATATTGCATAATCATAATTTTTTTTTAAAAATAAAAATTAAATACTGATTATTGTTTTAGCCCCTATGTATCATATAGTTATAATGATGAATAAATATATTAGAAGTAGAAATAGAAAGAAGGAATTAAGTCCTTATCTTTCACAGCAAGAAATCAACTGAAAATGTATATAATTAATCAATAAATATCAGTATAGATTTACAATGTAGAACTATGTAGGTAAATACCAGGAAAACATGTAGAAGAGTCAAATGTGGTTGATTCTGCAGAGAAAGAGAGGCACATGGATGGGTTGAGAGGTGGCAAATGACTGCTATTTCTCATTATGAGACTACTGATAGTTTGATTTTTAAAATGTGTACACGTATAAATCATATAAATTTGAATGATTTAGAAAATAAATCTAATAATTAAAGAGCTTGTATTGCCAAGACAATCCTAAGCAAGGGTAGGGCACCAAGTGGGCTCTTGGGGTCCCCAATTCCATGACTCTTAGACTGCATTTCTGGACCTGCCCTGGGTTAGAGGAAAACCCACTGCCCTGATGGATGAGTCCAAGGCCAGGCAGCATTCATGACAAGCTGACCTAAAAGACCTTGGGCCTTAAGGGAATATCAGCAGTAGTCTGGCAGTACTCCCCCTGAAGTGTTAGTGGCTACAACATGAGGCTCCTCTGCCTTTGGAAAGGGGAGGGAAGAGTGGGAAGGACTGCATCATGTGGTTTGAGTGTCAGCTCACTTGCAATACAATAGGACACCAGATAGAATTCTAAGGTTTTTGACTGTTGTCCCTGACTCCTAGATGACACTTCTGGACCTACCTGGGGCTTAAGGGACCTCAACGCCCTGAAGGGAATGACACAGGCCTGGTTGGATATGCCACCTTCTGATTGTAGACCCCAGGGCCTTAAGTGAATATAGGTAATAGCCAGGGAGTGGCTACAGCAGACTTTGGGCAAAACCCAGTGCTGTGCTGACTTCAGTTCTGAACCAGTGTAGTCACCGCGGTGGTGGCGGCCACAGAGGTGCTTGTGTCACTCTACCTCCAGCTTTAGGCGGCTCAGAACAAGGAGAGAGACTGTACATTTGAGAGAAAGAAAGGGAAGGAAACAAGAATCTCTGTCTGGTAATCCAGAGAATTCTCCTGGATCTTGTCCAAGACCATCAAGGCAGTACTTCTATGAGTCTGTTAGAACCACAGTGTTACTGGGCTTCCAGTGCCCCTTAAAGGAGATACCTCTTCAATCACAATACCCAAGTTTTTCAAATATCTGAAAAGCCTTCCCAGGAAGGATGGCTATAAATAAGCACAAAGAGTGAAAACTACAATAAATACTTAACCCTTCAATGCCCAGACACGAAGAACATCTACTAGCATCAACATCATCCAGGAAAAAGTAACCTCACCAAATGAACTACATAAGACACCAGGGACCAATCCAGAAGAAACAGAGATATGTGGCCTTTCAGACAGAGAATTCAAAAGAGCTGTGTTGTAGAAACTCAAAGAAATTCAAGATAACACAGAGAAGAAATTCAGAATTCTATCAGATAAATTTAACAGAGACTGAAATAATTAAAAAACAATCAAGCAGAAATTCTGGAGCTGAAAAATGCAGTTGGTATACTGAAGAATGCATCAGTCCTTCAATAGCAGAATGGATCAAACAGAAGCAAGAATTAGTGTTATTTGAAAATACACAGAGGAGCCAGCTGAGGTGGCTCATGCCTGTAATCCCAAAACTTTGGGAGGCCAAGGTAGGCTGATCACTTGAAGCCAGGAGTTCAAGACCAGCATGGCCAACATGGTGAAACCTCATCTCTACTAAAAATACAAAAATTAGCCAGGTGTTGTGGTGCATGCCTGTAATCCTAGTTACCTGGGAGGCTAAGGCACAAGAATCACTTGAACATGGGAAGTGGAGGTTGCAGTGAGCTGAGGTCATGCCTCTGCACTCCAGTCTGGGTGACAGTGCAAGACCCTGTCTCAAAAAAAAAAAAAAAAAAGAAAAGAAAAGAAAAAGAAAATATACAGAGGAGACAATTAAAAAATAAATAAAGAATAAAAAACAATGAAGGCAGCCTACAGGATCTAGAAAATAACCTCAAAAGGGCAAGTCTATGAGTTATTGGGCTTAAAAAAGGAAGTAGAGGAAGAGATAGGGGTACAAAGTTTATTCAAACAGACAATAACAGAGCACTTCCCAAACCTAGAGAAAGATATCAATATCCGAGTACAAGAAGGTTATAGACTATCAAGCAGATCTAATCCAAAGAGACTGCCTTAAGGCATTTAATAATCAAACCCCCAAAGGTCAAGGATAAAGAAAGGATTGATTATAAAAGCAGCAAGAGAAAAGAAACAACATACAATGGCTCCAATATGTCTGATGGCAGACTTTTCACTGGAAAACTTACAGGCCAGGAGAGTGGTATGACATATTTAAAGTGCTGAAGGAAGAAAGCTTTTACTGTAGAATAGTATATTCAAGGAAAATATCTTTCAAACACGAAGGACAAATAATGACTTTCCCAGACAAACAAAAACAGAGGGATTTCACCAATACCAGACCTGTCCTACAAGAAATGCTAAAAAGAGTACTTCAATCAGAAAGAAAAAGATATTAATGAGCAATAAGTAATCACCTGAAGGTACAAAACTTGCTGGTAATAGTAAGTACACAGAATTTTGTATTTTACAAACACAGAATATTATAACACTATAATTGTGGTGTATAAACTTCTCTTAAGTAAGAGAGACTAAATGATGAACCAATCAAAAATAATAACTACAGCAACTTTTCCAGACTTGGTCAATACAATAAGACATAAATAGAAACAACAAAAAGCTAAAAAGCAAGGGGATAAAATTAAGGCATGGGGCCAGGCATGGGGGCTCACACCTGTAATCCCAGCACTTTAGGAGGCCGAGGTGGGAAGATCATGAGGTAAGGAGTTCGAGACCAGCCTGACCAGCATGATGAAACCAGTCTCTACTGAAAATACAAAAATTAGCCAGGCGTGGTGGCTAATGCCTATAATCCCAGCTACTCAGAAGGCTGAGGCAGGAGAATCACCTGAACTTGGGAGGCAGAGGTTGCAGTGAGCTGAGATCATGCCACTGTGCTCCAGCCTGGGTGACAGAGCAAGATTTTGTCTCAAATAAATAAATAGTTAAAATTAAGGCATGGAGTTTTTAACAGTGTTCTTTTTCCTTGTTTGTTTATGCAAATAGTGTCAAGTTGTTATCAGGTTAAAATAATTGGTTATAAGATAGCATTTGCAAGCCTCATTGCAACCTCAAACCAAAAAAGAAACATAATGGATACACACAAAATTTTTAAGCAAGAAATTAAATCATATCACTAGAGAAAATCACCTTCACTAGAGGAAGACAAGAAGGAAAGAAACAAGGAAGAGAAGATCGCAAAACAACCACAAAACAACAAAATGGCAAAAGTAAGTCCTTATCAATAATATCATTGAATGTAAATGGACTAAACTCTGTAATCAAAATACATATACTGGCTGACTGAATAAAAAAACAAGACTCATTGATCTGCTGCCTACAAGAAATACACTTCATCTACATAGACACACAGAAACTGAAAATAAAGGGATAAAAACAGATATTTTGTGCCAATGGAAACCAAAAATAGAGTACGATTAGCCATACTTACAACAGACAAAATAGATTTCAAGACAAAAATTATAAGAAGAGACAAGATCACTATATAATGGTAAAAAAGTCACTACAGCAAGAGGATATAACAATTCTAAAGATAGATGTACCCAAAACTGGAGCACCCAATATATAAAAGAAATATTAGGCTGGGTGCAGTGGCTCATGCCTGTTAATACCAGCACTTTGAGAGGCTGAGGCAGGCAGATCACAAGATCAGGAGATTGAGACCATCCTGGGTAAAACAGTAAAACTCTTTCTCTATTAAAAATACAAAAAATTAGCCAGGTGTGGTGGTGGGCGCCTGTAGTCCCAACTACTCGGGAGGCTGAGGCAGGAGAATGGCATGTACCCAGGAGGTGGAGCTTGCAGTGAGCCGAGAGATTGTGCCACTGCACTCCAACCTGGGCAACAGAGTAAGGCTCTATCTCAAAAAAAAAAAAAAAAAAAAAAAGAAGAAAAGAAAAAAAAATATTATTAGAGGTAAAAAGAGAGATAGCCCCCAGTACAATAAAAGCTACAGAATTCAACACCCCACTTTAAGCATTGGACAGATCTTTCAAACAGAAAATCAACAAAGAAACATCAGACATAATCTGCACTATAAACTGAATGAATCTAATGGATATTTACAGAACATTTCATCCAAGAGCTGCAGAATACACATTCTTTTCCTCAGCACATGGATCATTCTGAAGGACAGGCTATACATTAGGTCATAAAACAAGTCTTAAAACATTTATATATATATATTATATATATCTCAAGCGTATTCTCTGACCACAATGAAAAAAACTAGAAATTAATAACAGGAAATTTGGAAAATATATAAACACATGGAAATTATACAATATTCTCCTGAATGACCAGTGGATCAATGAAAAAATTAAGAAGAAAATTGAAAAATGTCTAAAAACAAATGACAAACAAAACACAATATACCAAAACCTGTGGAATACAGCAAAAGCAGTACTCACTGGGAAATTTATAGCTACAAGTGCCTACATCAAAAAAAGAGGAAAAACCAAATAATCAATCTAACGATGTGTCTTAAAGAACTACACAATTGAGGACAAACCAAACTCAAAACTAGTAGGAGGAAAAAAATAATAAAAGATCAGAGCAGAAATAAATGAAATTGAAACAAAAAATACAAAACAAAAGATAATTTTTAAAAAAAAAGTTGTATTTTTTTGTTGGGATTATATATTGTTTCTTTCCTTTTTATTATACTTTAAGTCCTAGGGTACATGTGCACAATGTGCAGGCTTGTTACATATGTATACATATGCCATGTAGGTGTGCTGCACCCATTAACTCATCATTTATATTATGTATATCTCCTAATGCTTTCCCTCCCCACAACAGGCCCTGGTGTGTGATGTTCCCCTTCCTGTGTCCATGTGTTCTCATTGTTCAGTTCCCATCTATGAGTGAGAACATGCAGTGTTTGGTTTTTTGTTCTTGCGATAGTTTGCTGAGAATGATGGTTTCCAGCTTCATCCATGTCCCTACAAAGGACATGAACTCATCCTTTTTTATGGCTGCACAGTATTCCATGGTGTATATGTGCCACATTTTCTTAATCCAGTCTATGACTGATGGACATTTGGCTTGGTTCCAAGTCTTTGCTATTGTGAATAGTGCCGCAATAAACATATGTGTGCATGTGCCTTTATAGCAGCATGATTTATAATCCTTTGGGTATATACCCAGTAATGGGATGGCTGGGTCAAATGGTACTTCTAGTTCTAGATCCCTGAGGAATCACCACACTAACTTCCACAATGGTTGAACTAGTTTACAGTCCCACCAACAGTGTAAAAGTGTTCCTATTTCTCCACATCCTCTCCAGCACCTGTTGTTTCCTGACTTTTCAATGATCACCATTCTAACTGCTGTGAGATGGTAGCTCATTGTGGTTTTGATTTGCATTTCTCTGATGGCCAGTGATGATGAGCATTTTTTCATGTGTCTTTTGGCTGCATAAACGTCTTATTTTGAGAAGTGTCTGTTCATATCCTTCGCCCACTTGTTGAAGGGGTTGTTTTTTTCCTGTAAATTTGATTGAGTTCTTTGTAGATTATGGATATTAGCCCTTTGTCAGATGGGTAGATTGCAAAAATTTTCTCCCATTCTGTAGGTTGCCTGTTCACTCTGATGGTAGTTTCTTTTGCTGTGGAGAAGCTCTTTAGTTGAATTAGATCCCATTTGTCAACTTTGGCTTTTGTTGCCATTGCTTTTGGTGTTTTAGACATGAAGTCCTTGCCCCTGCCTATGTCCTGAATGGTATTACCTAGGTTTTCTTCTAGGGTTTTTATGGTTTTAGGTCTAACATTTAAGTCTTTAATCCATCTTGAATTAATTTTTGTATAAGGTGTAAGGAAGGGATCCAGTTTCAGCTTTCTACATATGGCTAGCCAGTTTTCCCAGCACTATTTATTAAAGAGGGAATCCTTTCCCCATTTCTTGTTTTTGTCAGGTTTGTCAAAGATCAGATAGTTGTAGATGTGTGGTATTATTTCTGAGGGCTCTGTTCTGTTCCATTGGTCTATAGCTCTGTTTTGGTACCAGTACCATGCTGTTTTGGTTACTGTAGCCTTGTAGTATAGTTTGAAGTCAGGTAGCGTGATGCCTCCAGCTTTGTTCTTTTGGCTTAGGATTGACTTGGCAATGCAGGCTCTTTTTTGGTTCCATATGAACTTTAGTTTTTTCCAATTCTGTGAAGAAAGTCATTGGTAGCTTGATGGGGTTGGCATTGAATCTATAAGTTACCCTGGGTAGTATGGCCATTTTCACGATATTGATTCTTCCTATCCATGAGCATGGAATGTTCTTCCATTTGTTCGTATCCTCTTTAATTTCATTGAGCAGTGGTTTGTAGTTTTCCTTGAAGAGGTCCTTCACATCCCTTGTAAATTGGATTCCTAGGTATTTTATTCTCTTTGAAGCAATTGTGAATGGGAGTTCACTCATGATTTGGCTCTCTGTTTGTCTGTTATTGGTTTATAAGAATGCTTGTGATTTTTGCACATTGATTTTGTATCCTGAGACTTTGCTGAAGTTGCCTGTCAGCTTAAGGAGATTTTGGGCTGAGATAATTGGGTTTTCCAAATATACAATCATGTCATCTGCAAACAGGGACAATTTGACTTCCTCTTTTCCTAATTGAATACCCTTTATTTCTTTCTCCTGCCTGATTGTCCTGGCCAGAACTTCCAACACTACGCTGAATAGGAGTGGTGAGAGAGGGCATCCCTGTCTGGTGCCAGTTCTCAAAGGGAATGCTTCCAGTTTTTGCCCATTCAGTATGATATTGGCTGTGGGTTTGTCATAAATAGCTCTTATTATTTTGATATAAAAAAGCTGTATTTTTGAAAAGTCAAAGAAAATTGACAAACGTTCAACCAGACTAATTAAAAAAGAGAGAAGGCCCAAATAAATAAAATCAGAAATGAAAAAGGAGACATTACAACTGATACTGCAGAAATTCAAATGATTATTATTGGCTACTATGAGCAACTATAGTCAATAAATTGGAAAATCTGCAAGTAATGAGCAAATTCCTACATACATACAACCTACCAAGATTGAATCAAGAAGAAATACAAAATCTGATCAGACCAGTAACAAATAATGAGATTGATACCATAATAAAAAGTTTCCCAGTAAAGAAAAGCCCAAGACCCAATGGCTTCACTGCTGAATTCTACCAAACATGTAAAGAAGAACTAAATATCAATCCTATTCAAACTATTCTGAAAAACTGAAAAAGGGGGAATACTTCCAAATTCATTCTATGAGGCCAGTATTACCCTGATACCAAAACCAGACAAAGACATATCAAAAAAAGGAAACTTCAGGCCAATATATCTGATGAATACTAATGCAAAAATCATAAAACAAAATGCTGGCAAACCAAATTCAGCAATATATTAGAAAGATCATTCATCACGATCAAGAGGGATTTACCCCTAGGATGCAAGGATGGTTCAACACACACAAATCAATCATGTGTGTGATACATCGTATCAACAGTACTAAGGACCAAAACCCATATGAGCATTTAAATTGATGCTGAAAAACAGTTGATAAAATTCAACATCCCTTCATGATAAAAACCCTCAAAAACTGGGGTTAGAAGTAACACATTTTAATATAATAAAATCCACATATAACAGACTCACAGCTAGTATCCCACTGAATGGGGACAAACTAAAAACTTTTCCTCTAAGATCAGGAACACAACAAGGATGCCCACTGTCATCACTGTTATTTATCTCAGTACTGGAAATCCTAGCCAGAGAAATCAGGCAAGAAAAAGATAGAACATTCAAAGCGGAAAGGAGGAAGTCAATTATCCTTGTTTGCAGGTGATATGATCTTATATTTAGAAAACACAAAAGATTCCACAAGAAAATTACTAGAACTAACAAAGTTGTAGACACAAAATCAACATACAAAAATCAGTAACATTTCTATATGCCAACAGTGAACAATGTGAAAAAGAAAATTTTCAAAATCCCATTTACAATAGCCACACATAAAATTAAATACCTAGGAATTAACCTAAGAAGTGAAAAATGTCTATAATGAACACCATAAAATGCTGAAGAAATTGAAGAGGACACCAAAAAATGGAAAAATATTCTGTGTTCATGGATTGGGAGAATCAATATTGTTAAAATATCCTTAATAACCAAGGCAATCTACAGATTCAATGTAATCCCTATTAAAATACCAATGTCATTCTTCACAGAAACAGAAAAAACAATCCTAAAATTTATATGGAACCACAAAAGACCCAGAATAGCCAAAGCTATCCTAAGCAAAAAGAACACAATTGGAGGAATCACATTACCTGACTTCGAAATATACTACAGAGCTATAGTAACAAAAACAGCATGGTACTGGCATGAAAGCAGACACAAAAACCAATGGAACAGAATAAAGAACCAGAAACAAATCTGGTCTTTTCACTGTAGGTGTGTGAATTTTTGACAAAGGTACCAAGGACATACGCTGGAGAAAAAACAGTCTCTTCAATAAATGGTGCTGGGAAAACTCTATATCCATATGCAAAAGAAAGAAATGAGACCCCTATCTCTTGCCATATATAAAAAATAAATCAAAGTGGATTAAAGACCGAAATCTAAGACCTTGAACTATGAAACTACTACGAGAAAACACTGGGGAAAATCTCCAAGACATTGGTCTGGGCAAAGACTTCCTGAACAGCATTACCCCACAAGCACAGGCAACCAAAGTAAACACGGACAAATGGGATCATATCAAGTTAAAAAGCTTCTGCAGAGAAAAGGATACAATCAACAAAGCAAAGAGACAATGCACCGAATGGGAGAAAATATGTGCAAATTATCTGTTGCGGTTTGAATTTGTGTCCTTGCCCAAATCTCATGTCGAACTGTAATCCCCAGTATTGGAAGTGGGCCTCGTTGGAGGTGACTGAATCATGGGGGTGGATTGCCCCCTTGCTATTCTCACAATAGTGAGTTCTCACACGATCTAGTTGTTTAAAAGTGTGTGGCATCTCCCCATTTACTCTCTTCCTCCTGCTCCCGCCATGGAAGTTATGATTCCTTCCTCTTTGCCTTCTATCATGACCATAAGTTTCCTGAGGCTTCCCTAGCCATGCTGCCTGTACAGCCTGCAGAACTATGAGCCAATTAAAGCTCTTTTCTTTATAAATTACCCAGTCTAAGGTAGTTCTTTATAGCAAAGCAAGAACAGACTAATACACTACCCCTCTGACAAGAGATTAATAATGAGAATATATAAGGAGCTCAAACAAGTCTACAGAAAAAAAGCTAAAAATGTGATGAAAAGATGGGCTAATGATTCAAATAGACATTTCTCAAAAGAAGACATACAAATGGCAAACTGGAATAAGAAAAGGGGCTCAACATCATTGATCAGAGAAATGTAAATCAAAACTACAATGAGATATTATCTCACCCCAGTTAAAATGGATTATATCCAAAAAACAGACAATAACATGGGTAGAACTGGAGATCATTATACTAAGTGAAATAAGCCAGGCACACAAAGACAAACATCTCATGTTCTCACTTATTTGTGGGATCTAAAAATCAAATCAATTGAACTCATGGACATAGAGAGTAGAAGGATGACTATCCGAGGCTAGGAAGGTTAGTGGAGGGTTAAGAGGGAGTGGGCTGTAATCCCAACAATTTCGGAGGCCGAGGCAGGTGGATCACTTGAGGTCAGACCAGCCTGGAGTTCCAGACCAGCCTGGCCAACATGGTGAAACCCCATCTGTACTAAAAATACAAAAATTAGCCAGGTGTGGTGGTGCACACCTGTAATCCCAGCTACTCCAGAGGCTGAGGCAGGAGAATTGCTTGAACCAGGGAGGTGGATGTTGCAATGAGTTGAGATCATGCCACTACACTTTAGCCTGGGTGACAGAGCAAGACTCCATCTCAAAGAAAAAAAAAAAAAGCAGGCGGAGGAGTCAGACTTGGTTAATGGGTACAAAAAAATGAATAAGATATCCTATTTTATAGGACAATAAGGTGACCATGGTCAATTATAACTTAAGGGTATATTTTTAAATAACTTAAAAAATGTAATTGGATTGTTTGTAACTCAAAGGATAAATGCTTGAGGGGATAGATATTCCATTCTCCACGATGTACTGATTTCACGTTGCATGCCTGTATCAAAACGTCTCATGTACCCCAAAAACATATACACCTAATATGTACTCACACAAAAAATAAACTGTAAACTATATGGGTACAGACTTCAAGGGAATTTGTAAGTAGAGGCATCTAGAGTACTCTGATTCTGACAATAACCCAAAATCTCCTTTCTAGTTGGACAGAATGAATAAAGAGTCTCCTCCAAAATCAGCCTCTATTTGATATTCCTATCATAGAGAAAAGAGAGTTCTCCTTAATTCACAGTTCACAATTATTTTTATTTCTCTAATATAGCAATATTTTAACCTTTGTTCTACAACTTAGGTAATAAAATTTAGAATAGTGACAATTATAAATAACAGTATCATTGTACTGGTTATCAAACAACCCTAAGTAAGACACCATATACCCAATATGTTATACCAAAAATCATGCAGTAAAACACACATAATTTACTTTAACCACCAAGAATTTATAAGCCACAGAAAAAGTAATAGTAACATAGAATACAATGTGGTTTTTCCCCTCTATATTTATAACGTGCATATTATGACATAATGGTGATTAAATTTGCTTCATTGTCTTTCCTGTAAAAATGTGGCAGAGAATCTCCTTGGACTCACCGCTTTTAGAAAGATGGCATAAATAACATGGTATTTTTTACTGGTCTTAGGAGCACAGGTGTAGATACATTGCAATCTGTTATCCCATGGAAGGATAAATCATTGAAAATGACCTACTTCCGGAGGCTGGGTCAGCAGCCACATTTTGGAGGAAAATAAGGTATACAGTGTTTTCTTTGCATTTCGAAGGTTAAAAGCAGGGGTCACACAATCAAATGCCTGCAGAGGCCAGAGAGTTAACATAATTAAACCCAGAGCAGACATCAAGGCCATAAGCAGAAATTATAACTGTGGTGATCAGAAGTGTATATAATCTTACCTAAGGGATTCAAATTATCTAAAGGGAACAGCAATAGCAACATGGTGCATTTCAAACTAAAAATATTTCCTGACCATATTTGGGCAATAGGCCATTGTTTGCAACATTTGGTTTAAAAGAAAAAGGCTAACATCTATATGTGGCTCCATAAAGGACAAGAGATAGTGGCTGGGGCCCTGCGAAGCAGCAGACATTGCTGTCAGTCCTGAGCTCTTCTGAGAAATGGCTACATGTGTGCACAGAAAGATCTCACTTCAGAACTAGAACTTAAGGTACATCCAGCACTTTTGGCTGCACACATGCAGTCCTAGATCAGCCAAGGTTCATGAGAGCAGGGCATAGTTATTAACTGTCAAATTGTGTAGAACCACTCTTTCACAATGGAACTGCTGGCAAATACAGTGGCAATGGCAGATTAATCATACCAGAGTTCTCACTCTGCTTCAGTGTGTGAAAACAAGGCACACACTAGTTTGAATAGGGAAAAAAAAATCTAGCATTTCTAAAAATTTCTGGAAGTTACCAGTCAACGAGGCAGATAAGTACTTAAGGCATTTGTTGGGAATATAAATAAATGTGACTGCAATTTACCCCTAGAGTTGATAGAGAAATTTGCTGTGGTCACAGGTAGAAGAGGAAACTAGGAAAGTTACATGTTTGTTGGGCTTGTTGAGAAGAAGCCATGGGGAGAACTTAATATTTCTAAGATTTCACACCACCAAGAACATTTCCCCTGAGGGAAAATATAGTCAAGCTAAGGCCATAACTTGTGTCCTTTCTCTTTATCTTTTTCTCCTTTTTCCTTCCAAGCTATGTTTGTGATTCTCCCTTGCACAATTATTCCCTTGGTAATGGGTCATGGCAACAAATAGATTCTCAAGCCTACTGGCATTACCCATTCAGGGCTCAACATCATTTCAGTCTAAGAAAGTATTTAGTTAGGGGTTTAGGATTCCCTAGTTAGGAATCCCCCGAGGCTATGAGAATGATTAACGATTAACACAAGATTTGTGGTTTAGACTTTCTTGTAAGAGAATCAGTTGGGCTCATCCTCATCAATCCAAAACAGCTTCTTTACCCAGACCTACTCAGCTGTGGTGTAGCTTCTTCTCTTAGGCTGACAGATTTCCATTTTTCCTGGTTCCTTTCATTTTGTGTTTAGAATGAGAGATAAATGTACACTAAGGTGGTGCGGGGTTTGGAGGCTCACTTACTGGAATTCTTGAAATCAGGCTGTGTGTGTACTTCATCCCTATATGTCTTGCAGAAATAGTACACTGTCTTAGACAATATATGTGTTCAATGAATATTAATTTAAACTGTGAGTTAAGGCCAAATGGATTAGGCAAAGTGAAAATATACATAATGGTATTGGAAAATTTTAAAAAGGATAGCATTACACTTTTGGATATGAACTTAAGCAAAATCTTAAACAAGTGGATGTGTCCTGGGGGCAGATGCCCATTACTGATTAGGACCAGAGACTTTGTTAAGTGTTTCATTGTATTTAACATTTATACAAACCTCAGCTATTCCATTTAATTATGTAAATTTTCTCGACATAAATAAAAAAAAATTAGTGTTACTGGTCCAATATGAGTAGATTTAGATTTTCCAGTTATTCAAGTATGTTTTCTCATCTGGTGTTCACAAGCTGCATTTTCTAAGGGACAATGTCAGATAAGGGTATAATCAATAACTGTGGAATACAGTAGCAGATTAAGGTGCAACAACAGATAGAATCTGGTTCCATGAACCTGGGATTTGCAACTCCTGAATTAAACAATGCAAATGCTTAGCTTAACATGGCAGAACATATTTGTTGGAAATTTTTTTTGGATGACTGGTTTCTTCCCAAAAAAACAATTATTTCCTAGAATATTTGGTTATTTTTTAACTTTTCCATAATTGATTATATATAATAAACTAGAACACATCACATGCATAGCTTCAAAGTTCACAACAAATTACAGGCTTTTTAAATGCTGGAATTTATCTATATTTTCATGAAAATAATTACAATTTGGCCATATTTTATCACATATGGTACACTTAAAAATTAAGCAAAATTAGTCTTCTGTTTTATATTACACTTGTATTACTTACTACACAAAGTATATTACACAGATCATACTTTGTTATGACTATAGAGAAACTATGCCTACTATGTTGACTGCTGTAACACAGTAATTCCATGAGCATTTCAGAGTGCCTTTGGGAATTCCTCATAGTGACATGATATCCCAAACTGCCAGAACCCACATTTGGATATGTATGATTTCGCTTAAAAATATGTTAAATTGTATGTAGCCAAGCAGTTCTCCCTTTGGCTACTCATCTGAGGAGTCCCAAGAGAGTATGCATTTCTATTCTAGGGCTGGAACTATTTACCCTTTGAAAGAAATAAAAGGAAATGAAATAAACTCAAGCTGCCTTTAAAACTATTACTTAAAAGGCAATGTTACCTACATAGAAGATCTTCAGTAAAGCAACTAAATGCCTATTTAACACTTATAACATGTTAAGAGGTTTATTATTACCTATATCAATGAAAGATTAAAGATATCTTAAAAGACTTTTTCAAGTTACAACTTGATTTGGATTATTTAAGCAGAATCCAATGAAAACCTGTTCTATTGGTAGGAATTGCTGACAAAGACTATTTAACAAATTCCTCTTAAAGAAACTGGTCAGATAATTGTTACTGTGATTTAATATATGGCTTTCAGTCTGTTTCTTGATAATTCTGAGTGAAAATGAATATGAGTGATTACCAATCTCTGCACAGAGTTTCAGTTGATGTGCAGACTGTAAGTAACTTTTCAGCCTTCTGCTTTTCCATTAATAAACTCAAATTCTTTTCTCAAAATCTATTTGCTCAATTCTGTCATGTGGGAAAACGGAGTAGGCAAAAATTTCCCTATTCCTCCACAATGTACAACTAAAAACCCTGGCATTGTTATATAAAAGCAAAGAGAGCAAGCCTGATAAATAGGAAAAACAAACAAAGAAAAAAGGCAGAACAGCTAGCAGCTGGGAACATAAGGACCCAAGGAACACCATGATGGCAAGTTCCTTGGGTTTTCTTTTTTCACCACATGTATCCCAGACTTGGAGCTGAAGAGGCTGGCAATCCAACAGATACAGGAAAAATAAAATAAAATAAAAGCCACAGAAAAATCTTAATCTTCCTAAACAAACAAAACAACAAGAACAACAACAACAACAAACCAGAATGGGCAGCCTAGCAAGACACCTTCAGCAATAACTGCCTGACTCAAGCCAAACATCATAAGAAGAATGGTGGTCTTATCCCCTTCCTCATCAACAAAGTCAGAGAGGAATCTGACTATCTACTCCCATCTATTAATAGTAATAATAAGGTGTCCCCTCCTCTATCTGCAGAGGGTGGTGCCTGAAGGGGTTAGTGGAAAGTCAGTATTCTCACCACCTCCTGGAGCAAATGAGGTCACTCTCTCCACAGTGTCAGTAGAGGAATGTGGGAGCAGTAAAGAGGCACTCCTAGCCATCTTAGTCAGAAAAGTATGAGTAGATTTCACCTGGGGAGCCAGAATTCCCATCTCTGCCCAGCAGTAATGAGAAGCTCCTCCCCCAGGTGTTATTAGGCTGAGTAGGGAGCCTAGATTTCCACTCTCACCTAACAGCACTTACAAAGCAACAGCACTGAATCCCCCTCTCCAACTGTCCCGAGAGAGTGGCGTCAAAGAAGTCAGCTAAAACAAAGATATAAGTAAGATCCAGAGTCTCATACCTAATAACAGAAGCTTCCAAGTTTCAAACAAAAGTCACTGATTACTTTAAGAATTAGAAAATTCTCGAAGTGAATGAAGAAAATATTAATAGAAGTCAACACTGATGAGAGAGATATTAGGATTAACTGACAAAGACTTTACAGCAACCATCATAAGACTGCTTCAATTAGCAATTATGAACATGCTGGGGCCAATTAAAAAATACAAAGACTCAGAAACAAAAAATACATCTCAGCAAAGAGAGAGAAGATATAAAGAATATTAGATAGAAATTTAAGAATTGAAAAATATGACTGATTTTTTAAAAATATAAATGGATGTGTTCAACAACAAAATGGAGAGGGAAGATGAAACAATCAATGGACTTGAAGATAGAAAATATAAATTGTCAAATGTGAGCAACAGAGAGAAAATAGACTAAAAATATAAAATAAACACAGTCAGAGGGACTTGTGGGACAAAAAGAAACTAGCTAACATTTGTGTCATCAGAGTTCCAGGGGAAGAGAATAAGGAGTATGGAGCTAAAAACTTAAAGAAATATGTGAAAAATATTTCCAAATTTGGCAAAAGAAATAAATCTTTATAATCAAGAAGCTGGATGAATGACAATAGTATAACTCAAAGAAACCACAGCAAAACACATAATGCTCAAACTTTGGAAAATAAAGACAAAGACAAATCTTGAAAGCAGTGAGAGAGAAACTACACTTTATCTCTAGGGAAAAATAATTTGAATTACAATGGGTTTCTTATCAGAAACCACAGAGGTTAGAAGGAAGTGACACATTTTCTAAGAACTGAAAAAAAATAAACTACCAATCCAGAATTCTATAGCCAGCAGAATATTTTTCAGGACTGGAAGGAAAATCAAGGTATTCTCAGATGAACAAAAAAACATGAGAAATTGTTACAATCAAACCCACCCTGCATATCAGATCCTAATAATCTAACTCAGGTATTCTCTTTAGCATCCCACTGTCCTCCCTACTCCAAGCCAGAGCCTATGTTAACAGAGGAAAGAGTTTTTCACCCTTCTTACTGAGAATACACATAGAAGTTAAGTATTTTATGTGTCATTATAGAATTGGTTGTATTTATGTATGTTTAAATAAACAATAGTGTATTTTATTTATTTATTTATTTTTTGAGATGGAGTCTTGCTCTGTTGCCAAGCTGGAGTGCAGTGTCATGATCTTGGCTCACTGCAGCCTCCACCTCCTGGGTTCAAGCAATTCTCCTGCCTCAGCCTCCCAAGTGGCTGGGACTACAGGCATGTGCCACCACACCCAGCTAATTTTTATATTTTTAGTAGAGACAGGGTTTTACCATGAGGCCAGGATGGTCTTGATCTCTTGACCTCGTTATCCACCCACCTTGGCCTCCCAAAGTGCTGGGATTACAGGCGTGAGCCACCGCATCTATTTTTTACATGTTGGTTTTGTCACTGTCAATTAATCCTTTAGCATATTTGTGAAGCATAGTGCATCCATTGCTGGTGAGTTAGTGTGATCTTCAGGGGGTGTTATAGAACCCTGTTTTTTCATATTACCAGAATTATCTTTCTGGACTCTCCAGCGGTTGATCCAAATAAATATGAAATATTTAAAATGCCAGATAAAGAATTCAAAAGGTTATTACTTAGGGAGATAGAGAGAAAGGTGAAAGTCAACATTAAAAATATTTAAAACAATTCAGGATATGAATGAAAAATTTTCTAAAGAGATAGATATTTCAGAGAAAAAGAAACAGAACTTCTGGAAATGAAATACACATTTAGGAAACTATGAAATGATGTGGAAAGTTTTAACAACAAACTAAACCAAGTAGAAGAAAGTATTTCAGAGCTCAAAGACGAGGCTTTTGAATTAACCCAACCAGACAAAAATAAAAAAAATAATGAAAATAAGTGAATGAAGTCTCCAAAAAATATGAAATTATGTAAACTGGCCAGACCTAAGAATTATACATGTTCCTGAGAGAGAAGAAAATACAAAAAGTTTGGAAATCCTATTTAAAATAATAATTGAGTAAAATTTACTGGGTCTTGCTAGTGATTTAGACATCCAAATAGAAGCAGCTCATATAATTCCTGGGAAATTCATTGCAAAAAAGGAGAGAAATCACCAAGGCATATAATCATCAGGCTATCTGGAGTCAATGTAAAGAAAATAATTTTAGGAGCAGTGAGACAAAAACATCAGGTAACCTCTAAAAGAAAATCTATCAGACTACTAACAGATTTCTCAGCAGGAAACTTACAGGCCAGAAGGAAGTGGGGTCCTATCTTTAGTCTCCATAAACAAAATAATTGTCAGCCAAGAATTTTGTTTCCAGCAAAATTAAGTGTCATAAATGATGAAGAAACAGCCTTTCTCAAACAAAGGCTGAGGGAATTTATCAATACCAGACTAGCCCTACAATAAACATTAAAAGGAATTATATATCTTGAAACAAAAGGTTGGAACACAACAGAATGGAACCACTGGAAGCATAAAATTCAAATGGCCTGTAAAACAATAACACAATGAAGGAAACAAAGTCACTAGGTAACAATCAATGTGATCACTGGAACATTACCTCACATCTTAATATTAACATTGAACATAAATGGCCTAAATGTTCAATTTAAAAGATACAAATTGGCAGAATGGATTTTTAAGAATCACATACCAAATATCTGCTATCTTCAGGAGACACATCTAACATGTAAAGGATCCTTACAGACTCAAGATAAAGGGGTGGAAAAAGATATTTCATGCAAATGTAAACCAAAGTGACAGAAATTGCTATTCTTAGATAAAACAGACTTTAAAGCAACAATAATTTTTAAGCAAAAAAAAAAGACAAAGTCATACAATAATAAAAGGATCAGTTCAACACAAATATATAATAATCCTAACTATATATACACCTAACTGTAGATCTCCTAGATTCATAAAGCTATTACTACTAAGCCTAAGAAAAGAGATAGACAGCAACACAGTCAGAGCGGAGCACTTCAACACTCCACTGACAGCACTAGACAAATCATCAAGGCAAAAAGTCAACAAAGACATACTGAACTTAAACTGCACTCTAGAACAAATGGAACCTAACAGATACCTACAGAACACTTTATGCAAGAACTGTGAACTATACATTCTTCTTACCAGCACATGGGACATTCTCCAAGATAGATCATACGATGGGTTGCAAAACAAGTTTTAATAAATTTTTAAAAATTGAAATCACAGCCAGTATCTTCTCAGAGCAGAGCAGAATAAAATTAGAAATCAATTCCAAAAGAAATCCTCAAAACTATACATGTACATGGAAATTAAACAATCTGCTCCTAAATTATTTCTGGATTAAAAATAAAACCAATATAGAAATTTTTAAAATTCTCAAAATGAATGATACTAGTGACACAAGTTATGAAGCCTATGGGATACAATAAAAGCAGTGCTAAGAGGAAAGTTTACAGCACTGAATGCCTACATCAAAAAGTCTGGAAGATCACAAACTGACAAGCAAATGTCACACCTCAAGTAACTAGAGAAAGAAGAACAAACCAAATTCAAAGCTAGCAGAAGAAAATAAATATCAAAGACAACAGCAGAACTAAATGAAATTGAAACAAAAAAATACAAAAGATCAATGAAACAAAAAGCTGGTTCTTTGAAAGGATAAACAAAATTGATAGACCACTAGCTAGGTAAACAAAGAATAGAAGAAATATTCAAATAAGCTCAATGAGAAATAAAAATGGAGACATTACAATTGACACCACAGAAATACAAAAGGTCATTCGATTATACATAAACACCTCTATGCAAAACTGGAAAATCTAGCAGAAATGGATAAATTTAGGACTTCTTTAGCTGGAATCAGAAAGAAATAGAAATCCTGAACAGACCAATAACAAGCAGTGAGAGCAAATCAGTAATTAAAAAAAAAAAGCTGCCAACACACACACAAAAAGCCCAGGGCCAGATGGGTTCACAGCCAAATTCTACCAGACATTCAAAGAAGAACTGGTACCAATTCTACTGAAACTATTCCAAAAGATTGAAAAGGATGGAATCCTCCCTAACTCATTATACGAAGCCAGTATCACCTTGATACTAAGCCAGGAAAGGAGATAACAAAAAAAGAAAACTACAAACCAATATCCTTGATAAATATAGATATAAAAATCCTCAACAAAATACTAGTTAACTGAATCCAGCAGCACATCAAAAAAATGATTCTTCATAATCAAGTAGGTTTCATTCCAGGGATGCATGGATGATTCAATATACACAAGACAATAAATGAAATTCATTACACAAACAGAATTAAAACCAAAAACCATATGATCACTTCAGTAGATGCAGAAAAAGCAATCAATAAAATCCTGCATTGTTTTATGATAAAAATCCTCAACAAACTAGGCACAGAAGGAACACACTTCAAGATAATAAAATCCGTATATAAAAAACTCGCAGCCTACATTATACTGAACATAGAAAATTTGAAAGAATTCCCCCTAAGAACCAGAACAAGACAAGGATGCCCACTTTCACCACTTCTATTCAACATAGTACTGGAAGTCCTAGCCAGAGTAATCAGGAAAAATAAATAAATAAAGGACTTCAGAATTGGGAAAGAGAAAGTCAAACTCGGCTGATGATATGATCTTGTAACCCTAAAGATTCCTCCAAGAGACTACTAGATCTGATCAATGATATCAGGAAAGTATCTGGTTACAAGATCAATGTACACAAATCAGCAGCACTGCTATACACCAAAAATGACATAGCTGAGATTCAAATCAAGTACTCAATCCCTTTTACAATATTTAGAAAAAAATTAAACACCTAGGAATATACTTAACTAAGGAGATGAACAATCTCTATAAGGAGAACTTTAAAACACTGCTGAAAGAAATCATAGATGACACAAACATATGGAAATACATCCCATGCTCATAAATTGGAGGAATCAATATTGTGAAAATGACCATACTTCCCAAAGCAATCTACAGATTCATGCAATTCTAATAAAAATGTTAAATAACAACAGTATTTTTCACAGAATTAGACAAACAATCCCAAAATTCATCTGGAGCCAAAAATGAGCCTAAATAGCCAAAGAAATCTTAAGCTAAAAGAAGAAATCTAGAGGCATAACATTACCCAACTTCAAATTATACTACAAGGCTACAGTAACCAAGATAGCATGGTACTAGTATAAAAGTAGTTACATAGACCTATGGAACATAATAGAGAACCCATAAATAAAGCCAAATACCTACAACCAGCTGATCTTTGGCAAAGCATACAATAATATAACCTGGGAAAAGGATACTGTATTCAATAAACAGTGCTGGGAAAATTGGATAGCCACATATAGAAGAATGAAACTGGATCTTTATCTCTCACTACATAAAAAATTAACTCAAGATAGGTTAAAGATCTAAATTTAGGATCTAAAACCATAAAAATTCTAGATGAAAACCTAGGAAAAACTCTTCTGGACATTGGCCTAGGCAAAGAATTTATGACTAAGACCCCAAAAGCAAATGCAACAAAAATAAAAATAAGTAAATGGGACCTATTAAACAAAAGCTTTTGCATAGAAAAAAAAGAAAAAAAGAAAAGAAAAGAAAAAGAAAAAACTCATCAGAGTAAACAGAAAACCCACAGAATGGGAGAAAATGTTTGTAAACAATGCATCCAACAAAGGACAAATATCCACAATTTATAAGGAACTCAAACAAATCAGTAAGAGAAAAACAAAATAATCCCATTTAAAAGTGGGCAAGGAACATGGCTAGAGATTCCTCAAAAGAAGATATACAAATTGCCAAGAAACATGAAAAACTCCTCAACATCAATAATCATCAGGGAAATGCAAATTAAGGCGGTAAAATACCACCTTACCCCAACTAGAATGGCCATTACTAAAAAGTTAAAAAACAATAGATGTTAGCGTTGATGTGATGAAAAAGGAATGCTTACACGCAGTTTGTGGGAATGTAAATTAGCACAACCTCTATGGAAAACCGTATGGAAATTTCTCAAAGAACTAAAAGTAGACCTACCATTTGGTCCAGCAATCCTACTATTATCTACCCAAAGGAAAAGAAGTCACTGTATCAAAAAGACACCACCAGCATATGTGTGTTTATCACAGCATGATTCATAATTGCAAAGATACGGAATCAACCTAAGTGCTCATCAACCAATGAGTGGATAAATAACATGTGGTGTGTGTATACACACACACACACACACACACACACACACACACCACGAAATACTGTTCAGCCATAAAAAAGAATGAAATATTGTCTTTTGCGCAACTTGGATGGAACTTGAGGCCATAATTATAAATGAAGTAACTCACGAATCAAAAACTAGATTCAGCATGTTCACTCATAAGTGGGAGTTAACTTATGGGTACACAAGGACATATAGACTGGTATAAAGGATACTGGAGACTCAGAAGGGGGTAAGGTTGTAGGGAATGAGAACTGAAAAACCACATATTGGGTTTGATGCTGGGAAAAAGCTGAGCTTTGGGAAGAAAGCTGAGGCAGGGCTTGCATAGTATCTTCTGGAATCTGTCTAGACTTGCTGGCTCCTTGCTTCTGGCCCTCCTAATGAGAGGTGACAATGTGCTAGCAGCCCTCGCTCACTCTCAGTGCCTCCTCGGCCTCAGTGTCTGCTCTAGCCACACTCGAGGAGCCCTTCAGCCAGCCACTGCGCTATGAGGGCCCCTCTATGGGGCTGGCTGAGGCTGGAGCTCGCTCCCTCTGCTCGCGGGGAAGTGTGAAAAGAGAGGTGCGGGTGGGAGCCAGGGCTGCACACAGCGCTCACAGGGTGGGCCTGTGAGGGTTCTGGGTGGGCGCAGGCTTGGCAGGCCCCACACTAGGCACAGCCAGCTGGCGCCTGCTGGGCTTGATGGGAGGCTGGGTCCCATGCGTGAACGGCCGTTCCCTCTTCGCAGGGTCGTTGGCCAAGATGGCGGGTCTCCATCTCTTTCTCATTTGCCCTCTTTTCCTATTGATTGTCTGGGAGGAGCTCCCTCTGAGCGCCAGAGTGCCTGGGCTAGGTGCTGCAAAGTCCCGCCGCAAGTGCCAGTAAGATGTGAAGCCAGCTGGGCTTCTGGGATGAGTGGGGACTTGGAGAGCTTTTCTGTCTAGCTAAAGGATTGTAAATGCACCAACCAGCACTCTGTGTCTAGCTAAAGGTTTGTAAACGCACCAATCAGTGTTCTGTGTCTAGCTAATCGGGTGGGGACTTGGAGAACTTTTGTGTCTAGCTAAAGGATTGTAAACGCACCAATCAGCTCTCTGTCAAAATGGACCAATCAGCTCTCTGTAAAATGGACCAATCAGCTCTCTGTAAAATGGGTCAATCAGCAGGCTGTGGGTGGGGTCAAATAAGGGAATAAAAGCAGACCACCCCAGCTAGCAGCGGTAACGCACTTGGGTCCCCTTCCACGCTGTGGGACCTTTGTTCTTTCACTCTTCACAATAAATCTTGCTGCTGCTCATTCTTTAGGTCCGGTCGCCTTTATGAGCTATAACACTCACTGCGAAGGTCTGCAGCTTCACTCCTGAAGCCAGCAAGACCAAGAACCCACCAGGAGGAATGAACAACTCTGGATGGGAGAAACTAACAACTCCAGACGTGCCATGTTTATGAACTGTAACACTCACCGCGAAGGTCTGCAGCTTCACTCCTGAGGCCAGCAAGACCACGAACCCACCGGAAGGAATGAACAACTCCAGACGTGCTGTCTTTAAGAGCTGTAACACTCACCGCGAAGGTCTGCAGCTTCACTCCTGAAGTCAGCGAGACCACAAACCCACCAGAAGGAAGAAACTCTGGACACACCATCTTTAAGAACTGTAACACTCACCGCGAGGGTCCATGGCTTCATTCTTGAAGTTACTGAGACCAAGAACCCACCAATTCCGGACACACTAGGCTCCTGGATCAATCGCCTTCCCATTTTCTCAAGTAGCAGAACATGTTCCATGTAAATGCTAAATCATCACAGCTGCAGATCATGCACCTGCCTTTTTGACCCCCACATTCTCACCACCTGTTTCTTTGTTGGATTACCAATAAATAGCGTGGGCTCCCAGAGCTAGGGGCCTTCACAGCCTCCACAATCGCGATGGCCCCCAGTCCCACTTTACTTCTCAAACTGTCTTTTACTCAATTCTTTGACTCTGCCGGACTTCGTAGCCCCCACGACCTGGTGTTGGGTCTGATCACCCCAGCAGTTTGATGTACACTAATCAGGTAACAGGCACAATAAAATGGTAGACTTCACCACTATACAGTTCATCCATGTAACCAAAAACCAATTGTACCCCTAAAGCTACTGAAATAAAAATAAAGTAAAAACAAGTAGTCATTAAATATCCACACTATTCCCCCACCTTACCAGCCCTTACAGCAATCCCCAATATGCAGCCTGTGTCCATGTTCCATAGTCACAGGCTATACTTTACATAGACACACACACACATGGTATTAGGTACAAATAACAATTAACAGTCCTCATGAAAATTCAATTTCAATTTGAGGCTATGGTTCCTATGCCTTGGAATGGTTTTAGACTTCAAAACTAAAAAATATTGCTAAAATCTCACTTCCTTAAGACAAAATTTTGATTGCATGTTCAGTTTAAGCTTCTGAGTCTAAAATTTGCTATAAGGTAAGTATTTCTTAAAATAGCCAACTAAGTGCAATCTCTCTCCAATTTGGCCAAGTTTGTAGTAGAAATTATTCCTAAATAGACTGAAAATCTATGATGACTTCCAATGGTCTTGCCTACCTTACTGTGTTTATGTTTCAAACTGTCAATGGAGCCTTTACTTCAGAGCCTGTACTTCGGAGGTCAGCTGCTTGGCAGTCTTAGCCGCCTCTGTAATAGCCTTGCAATACAGGCCCCTTCTCTTCTTATTCAAGTGTGTCTGGAAGTTTTCTAAAAAGTGAGAAAGGTACAAAAGAGAAAAAAATATGCTGGAGAATTGAACCATAAATTACAGTCCTCCTATATGAATAAAAGGCCATTATCTTCAGTAAGAACAGGGGTTGGCACCAAGGGAAGTCATGTATCTTGGCCGAAACAATCTCCCCAACACATATGGTCCTGCCATGTGGTGTGATGCATTTAGAGACAATTTTGGAAGATTCATTTTCAAGGAATTACTGAACTTTTTCTCTTCCTTTGACGAGAAAGAAGTGAAGGATTTGGAAGGTGCATGCATACTGCCTGGAGGCAAATGAAAGCTTTCTGAGGAGCTACATTCAGAGTTGGATGATTTCAAATCATCTATGCTATCAATGCTACACACTGAAGCACGGGAAGAGTCAGATTTCTTTTGGTTTAAGGCCAGAGATAATGCTTTTGCTGCCCTTTTTGTCCAATGTCTATGGTTCATCTTGTTCACCAAGAGCATGCATTTCAGTTGGGTCCTGAACCTCTCACTGCTGGCCTCTTCCAGGCCTTTTCAGGGACTCTGATTTTCAGAAGGCCCTCACCTGGTGAGCGCATAGAGGTGCAGCAAGACTGGAGTTGAGGACCACTTCTCCACTCCACACTTTCTCGAGTCATTTTCTTCATTCCTGTACCTCTGTGGTTTTAAATGAAACCCAGGCAGAAGGGCATCTGACTAGGATTCTGATATTGACCCGTGAAATGGACTTTTGAATGTGCATTTTTGGAGTAGAGGTTTCAGTTTGCTTCTTTCATGCCATTTCCTTGGCAATTTTTGAGAATTCCCTGAGCTTTTGCATGATCCATGTTCTTACTCTAGAGCAGTTTGTTATTACTTAACTGAGCTTTTGACCTATCTGCCTGAGCAGAAACATTTACTACTCTGCCTCTTCTGTGAGCAGTATCTGAAACCATAACCACAGTATTTCTTCTCTGGCTTTCATTTTGGGTTTTTCCATCCACTTTATGGCCAGTTTTTAGTTTTTTGTTCACAGTAGGTACATTTTCATATCTCTGTTTTTTACCGTCATATTTAGCAGTCACTTCCATTACTACCTTTTCTAATTTTGTTTTCAACAACAGCATTTTTTTTTAAACATTTATCGCATAGGACTTGCCTAGGTCATAGTTTAATGGGATTTATTATTGAAGTGGGTTCTTCCCCAGATATTTTCGTTTGGGCAGCTTAATTTTCTGAGGAGAGGGCTGAGGTACTGATTGGTTAGATGGATTCTGATAAAGCAGGGAGGATAAGGTGGTCCTTCGTGGGAAAGAGGTGATGGTTTGGAAGTCCACAGGCTTTCAGGCAAGCTTAGCACATGAGGCAGGGCAGGAGAAAGGTCACTGGGAACAGTACCATGAACTTCACACTTGACTTCCGTCCCTTCTTGGAATGTATGACGTTGAAGCTACATGGCTTGTGAGTTATCTTTATAGTCCCTTTTGGGAAATACTGTCACAGGGATGCGGGCCCAAACAGCATCACCAGAAGAGCTGCATATGTTTCCCACCAAAAGTTGGGCTATAGCACCAAATGTTTCATGATCTCTTTTGAACAGATCCACGAAGACCCCGGAGAAGAGCTTCTACCCGACGGAGGACGACAAGATAAGCACATCCTCAATGCAGCGTGACCTGCACCTCCGAGCCCGGGGTCAGCTGCCACACCAAGGAGTCCCCACCTTGCCGCCCCCGCCGGGCTGCGGGAGGAGGCAAACGGCGTCTCCTAGCGCTCCTCAGGAGCTGGGGGTGTTTCAGAGGAGGTGCAGGAAAAGGCGGGGAAGGTCAGACTCTTGAGAGGGGTGGCTGCTGCGGATCCCTCACCCTCTCCAGCAGCTTCCCCTCAGCCTCCAGCTCCGGCCCCGCCACGTCCGGGCTGCGGGCAAGCTCCCCGCAGCGGGGGCAGCAGCACGGCCTGAGGAGCGTTCTCCTGGGCGTCGGCCCCACGGTCGGGCACAGACGCTTCAGTGGCTGTGACTGGGAGGGGGTCAGTGCCAGCCTCGCTGCTAGGGACAGATTCCATTCCCAGCCTGGCCTGGCCAGCGCCCCGCTCCCTGGGTACACTGCCCTCTTCGCCGCCCGATGCAGCCTTGGCTGCCATTTTCCTCCCGGCTTCCCCTCCACCTCGGGCTGACGGGGCTCTTAACAAGTGGCAAATTCTAAGACCCGGAGTGGACCATACCTGTGAAGCCGCCCACCTCAGAGAGTGCTGCCCCAACAAGTTAGCATGAAACACCTGTTGTATAGATTTAAAAATTAGAATGAAAATGTTTTTAAAACCCAACTGTTAGTATACTTAATGTTGGGTTCTGGCAATGGATTGTGTTTCTTGTTTTTCTATACTTTTCCTTTTCTTTAAAACAGACATTTGATTCTGTAAGGGAAAAAATAAACATTATATTTGGTAAATATTATATGCCAGCTGTCCCCAGGCCCAGATTCTAGTGTAGGTAGTATGTGATGGATAAGTATTTGGCAATGCACAATATGAGTTCGGGAAATCTGCCTACAACGTGATAATCTGCTTAGAATGAACCCTTAATCATGCAGACTGAACTCTTTATTTTTTAACGTGTTTCAAATTATCTTCCTTCTGTTCTTTTTCTGCCCTTCTGATATTATCTTCCTTGATATTCTGTGAGTTTTGTCTGTGTTTTCTATAGAATGATCCTAATATTTGTCTTTCTCACATATGTGTGTGGATGTCTGTGTGTTTGTGTATGTGGCATGTACTTGTACGTGCAAATGTGTACTTCTGTGGGTATGTCTGTGTGTATGCATGTCTATATGTGTGTGGTTAAGTGTGTGCATTTGTGTTTTTTGTTCATGTGTATATATTAATTTTTACTTATTCATCTAATGACTGTTAAATTATTGTCTTCTTATCTACCTACTTAGTTACCTACATCTTATCTACCTATTGTACAAAGCAAGAATCACTTCATCACTTTCAGAACATTATTTCAGTTAACAAATTCAAATGACCTTCTAATCAGGAATATATGCCCAATGCCTAAAACATGCTAGGAACTATGCCAAGTTACTCTACTTACCAAGGCTAAAACGTATAGTTCCTGAACTTAAAAAAGTTTATTTTGCCTTTAAACAACGTTTTCTTTCTTTCAGTTGGGAAGATATACAACTAAAATGTAATTTATTTTAGCCATTTAACCAAAATTCTACAATCCCCCAAAATTTCTCAACAATTATTAAATAAAAACTTAAAATTCCTCGTTTTCTAATAATCTGACTCAGGTGTTCTTTTCAAGGTCTCACTGCCACCCCACACTCCCACTTCCTGACTAACACGGGTTCTAGTGGTCCTGAGTAATTCACTGTTTCATAAATATTTATTCCTCCTGAGTTGCCTCAAAACATTGAACATGCTATTCTTTTTTGGCCTATCCATTCTCTCTTTTCCAATTTCAAGTCATTTAAATCTGAAACACTTTTCCAAACTAACACAGATTCCACACAGTAATTTGCACCTCCTTAATAATCTTTCTTTAGATTGTACCTCTCGTAACAATTCACACAGTCTGCATGAGTCAGTCATGAATTCTATACAGAATGTCAGTGATGTGCTCATCACTCAGGCACTAGGAATATGACACTAACAAAAGGTACATTCTTTTCATCCACATGGAGTTTGGAGTCTAGCCGTAAAGTTGGATGCTAAACAAATTATTTTAAAAATAAGTATACCATGAAGAGTGAATAAGCTCTGAAAAAAGATATAAAATACTATGAGAGCTTGAAAAAAGCACGTTTGTGTTATTAATGTGGAGAAACAGTGCTAGATGGTGAATGCTTTGAGGGGAAAGACCTCCTACACGTTACTTTGTACAAATAGGAAGCATTCAAATAATATTTTAATATTTTAAAGATATTAAGTAGTTAAATGTTTAATATTTTAAATATTTTTTAAATAAAGCTTAGTTCTGTTTATATTAATAAAGTGGAAAGGCTGGTTTTACAATGAGGCTGCTTTTCATTTTATGTAACAATGATATAGCAAGCAAAGGAGAATAAGATTCTAATATAACTTTACCATATTTTTTATTTCAGTCCTATCATTTTTTGTATATCATACAAATAACTTAGAAATAACTTTGATTTTTAGATGATAACCACAATTATTGTTCTGTAACTTTAGAAGTAGTCTATCCTAAAATAACAAAGATTCTTAGTGAATAAAGAAGATTGACAAGTGCTCTTAAAACATTGAAATTATTGTGGGAGTAGACCCAGTCACACTAATTAAATGAACATCATGACCTTACCAGTGTTTGGCCATCCATGAAGCCAGAAATCTCTGTGGATTCAATGTCAACCAAAAGAGCATCCAAGAAAAAGTCCAGCTGCGTGGAGACATCATTGGACACCACCATTTCTGAAAATATACTCCAATATTAAACTTGATTATATTGCATTTCATATTTTGTTTTGCTTTTAAGACAGAAAAAAATCAAGTTCAAGCATTCATTTTTTTCTACAAGATTTTATACAATAATTGCCTGGATTTAATACAAGTGATTTATAATTTTTGTTATCATCAAGCAAAGCTCAAAGAATAATGACAATATACTAGCAGATGGATAGAGCAATTTAATCACCAGACTAGTAATAATTTGATTTCCTGAATCCAATGTTTCAAAATATGGATGTATTCACTGAGAAATTAGGTGTGAAGTGAAGAGAACTTGAAGCCTTAGAGAATAGTTATTTTCAAGGTCTGAGTTACTATGTGGTTTCAAACATGCTTCTACCTCTCCCCCCAGTCTCTTCTCATATTATTTCCATGTATTCTATCAAACCATAAAACACTGGATCTGATTCCTATCTGACAGATCTTACTACTTCCCTGCAAAATCTCTTTTTCCAGTATGTTAAAATTATGGAAGAGAAACTAAAACATGACCGGAACTTGTGATATTATGTTACTTCTGTAAGGCACTTGAGGTCAAGAAATTTGTCTTTTATTTCAGATTTCAAATTTTGTAGTCTTGAAAAAAAAACAAAAGGCATTCAATATATAAAAGTAGAAACATCTAAGAAAGTATTACTGTAAATTCTACCACCTATAAGTTTAATATGAATAACATTTCAGGCATATCCCTATATCACTATGTATAGTTAGATGGATATACAAATAGAAGGACAGATGGGCAGAAAGGAGATATGTAGATAGGTGGAAAGATTAAGGAATGGATAAACATGGTCTTATAAGACCTGAAATACAGTACACATGTCATTACAGTAAAATTAAATTCTATCTAAGTTTTACTTCATTGGAAATTAACAGAAGGGGAACTTAATTAAAAACAAATAATTTCAAAACTCTAAATGAATGTTTTATCAACACAAGAGATATTATCTTAAATATTATAAAGTTAGCTATTTTAGCAACATGTTTAATGTATACATTATTTCACTTCCTGTTAAAAAAATTAAGATAGGAACTCTCTTGCTATTCTTTTATCTCATGTTAGTTGTGTTCTTATTTTTATATTATCAAGATTTCCAATGTTTATTTTCTCTTTTTAAGCCATAGTTTTGGCCAGTATTTACTTCTGATTCTGTTTTTTTAATAGATTCAATGCTCACCACCAGCTCCTTTACCATACCTTTCTGAGAGCTTTATTTGGGTGCATTTATTGGATAATAGATTTCACCCTTAAATATTATAAATGCCAGTATTACCTTGTTTAAGATGCTGTACAAAATAAATCAATCCTTATTGTCTAAATGCTACAAAAGCTTATTTCTTGATTATACCAAATCTTCAATGCATATCATACAGAGAATCAGTCTGATAGAGGCTCACTTCAACGTTTGTTTTCACAATTATTTTGGTAGGAAAACAGTATGATAGTGAATAATGAAATGACTCCTAAAAGATGTACATCATTTCCACTCACATAGAAAAGGAAGGCAATCTTAACACATACGCCAAAGGAGGAGAGCTAGAATATAATTGTGATTAGCCCCAATAATAACCGCAATCTAAGCTTCTAGTCCCCAATATTTGGATCACTCTTTCCTGCATTTAAAATACACTCAAAGGGGACAGCCTAAAAGTCCCATCTAGTCATAGCATCAAGTTGCAGAGAAAGACTTCTGTATGATGCATGATAGTCTTTCCATTAGGAGATGATACATGGTATTCCGCATTACATTCAAAACTGGCTTTTCCTGACTTGCAAAATTGTGAACTGCCAAGCCACCCAATTTATTTGGAGAATTCCTCAGGTGCAGAGTTCATTTAGTACTGGTCCCCCACTTCACAGAGTACTGTTAGCTGATCAGAATGTTAACTGTTCCCACCACTAAACATCATGGCATCTACCTTCGAATGAAAACAAACAAACAAAAAAATGAACTAAAGAGACATGTTTTTTTGGCCTGCACACTCCTGATAGAAAATAGAGAAATAGTAAGAAGACAACCTCAAAAATTAATCTTATTCCTAAAAAGGAGAGGCAGGAAATAAACAGATTAGGGTGTGTATAATTTTGAAATATACTGTGCAGACACTTTACAATCCAGCTACCCTGATGGAGGAGAATGTTCCATAAACAGATAAATTCTTCTCCCTCAACATAGCTCCTTTGTTTATTGTTCTCCACACACTTCGACTCATTCTTCTGTGAGGTTTGTCCCTTTCCATTGTACATTGGATCTTAGAGGCATTCACCTGGAAGTGTCACATGTAACTCCCATTCACATTGAGCTGTCTAAGGCATGTTTTGTAACCACATCAAAATTCAAGGAGCTAAGAGAAACCATGGACAAAAACTAAAGAAAAACAAGAGAAGGATTTCTCACAAAATATAAAATAACAATAAAGAGATGAAAATTATAAACAGAAGCCAAATGGAAACTCTGGAGTAGAAAATTACAAAAACTGAAATTTTAAAAAATCACTAGAAGAGGTGGTGTTTAAAGGCAGATTTGAGCACAAAAAAGAAAGTAGCAGTTAAATATAGGACAATAAAAATGATCCAGTATGAGGAGCTGAAATAAAAAATAAAAATGAATAGATTTAAGGAACCAATAAGACACAATCAAGCAGACAAATATGTGCATCATGGGAGTCTGACAGAGAAAAGAGAGGCAAAAAGAGTAGAAAGAATATTTGAAAAAATAATGTCTGAAAACACGAAATTAGATGAAAGACGTGAATCTATACATTCATGAAACTCAACAAATTCCAACATGATAAACCTAAAGAGATTCATAACAAAACACACTGTAATCAAACTGTACAAAGATAAAGACAAAGAGAAAATTTTGAAAGCAGCAAGATAGAAATGACTCATCATGTGCAAGGATTCCTTAACAAGACTAATAGCTGGTTTATCATTGGAAACCATGGATAACAGAAGCCAGTGGGATGGTATATTTAAACTGCTGAAATAAACTGTCAACCAAGAATTTTATATCTGACAAAGTTTTCTTTAAAATGAGTAAGAAATTAAGATATTTGTAGGTAAACAAAAGCTGAGGAAGTTTGTTACCAAGAGACCTGTACTACAAGATAATGATAAAGGCAGACCGAAATGAAAAGATAATAAACGGTAACTTGAAACCATCTGAAGAAATAAAGATCTCCAGTAAAGGTAACCACTTGGACAAATATAAAAGGCAGTGTTACTGTAATTTTGATTTGTAACTCTACTTTTAATTTTCAATATGATTTTTAATGCATAAAATAACTACAAATTTAAATTATTGGGCACACAATGAATAGAGATGTGATAAGTGACAGAATACCAAACTAAGGGAATACTAAAGGTTTTGTGTACTACCTCCAATCCCATTCGAGTGCAGAGTTTTGTATAGTATTGAAGTTAACTTCATATCAATTCAAACTTGATTGTCGTAAGTTTAATGTGTTATTTGTAATATCCATGGTAACTCCTAAGAAAAAAACTAAAAACATATGCAAAAAGAAATAAAAAGGGAATGAAAATGGTTAACAACAAAAAAAATCAAGTAAACACAAGAGAAGGCAGTAACAGAGGAAATGAAGAATAGAAACAACATAAGACATGTAGGAAACAAATAGCAAAATGGCAATTCTTACATGTAACTAATTCAAATATATATAGATTAAGTTATAATTAAAAGGCAGAGATTGGAAGAAAATTTTTAATGATCCAATTATATGCTATCTACAAAAGTCTCACTTTAGAGTCAGTGACACAAATAATTTGAGAGTGAAAGATAGAAAAAGACATTTGTTGGAAATAGCCAAAAGAGAGTTCGGGTGACTATTCTATCATAAAATTGACTTTAAGTTGAAAGTCATAACGAGGGACAAAGACAAGCATTATATATTGATAAAAAGGTCAACCCATTATGAAGATATAACAATTATAAACAAATATAACATTTATATGTAACTAAAAACAGTGATCCCACTGTGAATATATAAAAGTGGATTTTGATATATGAATATGAGAAACACTGACAGAATTGAAGAGAGAAATAGACAATTCCACAACAATAGTTGAAGACTTCAATAATCCACTTTAATAAATGATAAAACAACTAGACAAGTTTATTAAGAAAATATAGAATTTGAACACTAAAACCTAATAAGGCCCAAAAGAAATATGCATATATATATAAAACATATATATACATATATAACATATATATGCATGCATATATATAACATACATATATACATATATATGCATGCATATATATAACATACATATATACATATATATGCATGCATATATATAACATACATTTATAAACATATATATGCATGCATATATAACCATGCATATATATACACATATACATATATATGCATGCATATATATATGCATATATATGTATATATGCATATATATACATATATATGCATGCATATATATATATATAACATTTCATCCAACAACAGCAGAATACTCATTCGTGTCAAGTGCAAACGCAATATTCTTCAGAATATACCATATATGAGGTCAAGAAACAAGTCTCAATAAATTTTAAAAGATTAAAATCCTATAAAATATCTTTATGGATCACAGTCAAATGTAACCAGAAATAAGATCAGAAGGAAAACTACAAAATTTACAAATATATAAAGATGAACCAACACACTCTTAAGCAGCATATGTGTCAAATTTTGAAAATCATGAAGAAAATTGGAAAATACTTTGAGATATATAAAATCTTACAGAACTAGATAGCGGTGATGGTTGCATAACATGTGAATGTACTAAGTGTCACTAAACTGTATCCTTTAATATGGTTAAAATGGTGAATTACAAGTCATGTACTTTAATTCAAGAGAAGTTGTTACATATTGCACTCAATTTTTAGGGATCTTTGGTAGACCTCTTTGAATTCTGTAGACAATTTGTGTTACATTTGACTGTAAATTTTTTACCCAATTATTAATCCAATCTTAAGGACCCATCCTTAACAAGAAAACCAATAAAAACAGTAAAATCAGTTCCCTAAGTTCCTTCACAAAGATGTACACTTTCACCAGTCCTATTTAACATAGAACTGGAAGTTCTAACCAGAGCAATTAGGCAAGATAAACAACTAAAAGGAATAAAAACAGGAAAAGGGTAGTCAAATTGTTCCTCTTTGCTGATAATATAATCTTAAACCAAGAAAAACCTAAAGGCTCCACCAAAAAACTCTTAGATTTCATAAATAAATTCAGCAAAGATACAGAATACAAAATCAACATCCATAAATCTGTAGCATTTCTAAATGCCAATAATGATCTAGCTGAGAAAGAAAGCAATTCCATTTACAATCACTACAAAACAACATCTTAGAAAAATATTTAAGCAAGAAGGTGAAAGAGCTCTACAAGGAAAACTACAAAACACTGATGAAAGAAATCGAGGTGACACAGACAAATGGAAAATTATCCCATGCTCATGGATTGGAAGAATATTGTCAAAATGACCACATTGTCCAAAGCAATATTCAGATTCAATGCAATTCTTACCAAAATAACAATGTCATTCTTCACAGAATTAGAAAACAAATTCTAAAATTCATATGGAACCAAAAGGAACATGAATAGCCAAAGCAACTCTGAACAAAAAGAACAAAGCTGAAGACATCACATCACCTGATTTCAAAATATATTACAAGCCTATGGTAAACAAAACAGCATGGGATTGGTATAAAAATAGACAGACAGACAAAACAGAATAGAGAATCCACAGATAAAATCACATATTTACAGTTCATTGATCTTCCATAAATTTGAGAAAAACTTACATTGGGAAAAGGAAACCCTCTTCAATAAATAGTGCTGGGAAAATAGGATAGCCATATGCAGAATAATGAAACTGGACCCCTAACTCTCAACACACAAAAATCAAATCAAAATGAATTAAAGCCTTAAACATAAGACCAAAAACTATTTTTAAAAAATTAGAAGAAAAGCTAGGGAAAACTCTCCTGGACATCGGTTTAGGCAAAGAACTTATGATTAAGACCTCAAAATAATGGGCAAAAATAAATAAATAAATAAATAAATAAGACTTAATTAAACTAAAAAGTTTTTGCATAGTAAAAGAAATAATCAACAGACTGAAGAGATAATTTGTAGAATGAGAGAAAATATTTTCAAAGTATTCATCTGACTGGAGGCTAACATCCAGAACATACAGGAAATACAAATAACAGAAAAAAAAAGCAATACTATTAAAAAGTAGGCAAAGGACATGAACAGACATTTCTCCAAAGAAGACATACAAATTGAAAACTGCTTATTATTATTAATCATCAGACAAACACAAATCAAACCACAAAGAAATATCACCTTACCTTAGTAACAAAGTCTATTACTAAAAACACAAAAATAGATGTTGGCAAGGATGTGAAGAATAGGAAACTTACATACACTGTTGGTGGGAAAATAGACTAGTACAGCTACTGTGGAAAACAGAATAGAGGTTTCTCAAAAAACTAAAAATGGTGTCACAATTTGGTCCAGAATTTCCACTACTGGGTATCTACCCGAATGAAAAGACAACAATATATCAAAAGGATACCTGCAGTTGCATGTTTATTACACTATTCACAATAGCAAGCATATGGAATCAACCTAAATGTCCATTATTGGATGAATGGATGAAGAAAATATGGCATATATACACAATTGAATTATACTTGGCCACAAGAAGAATGAAATCATGTTATTTGTAGCAACTTGGATGGAACTGAAGGTCATTCACTTATGTGAAATAACACAGGCACAAAAAGATAAGTATTGTATGTTCTAACTCATATGTGGGTGCTAAAAGTTATACCACATGGAGGTAGAGAGTGGAAAGATAGATAACAGACTTACAAGGTTAAGGAGGGGAGAAAGGAGAAAGAGAACTGTGTTAAGGGGTATAAACATACAGTAAGATACATGGAATAAATTTAATGTTTAATAGCTTAGTAGGGTGACTATACTTAACAAGAATGTATCATACTCAGGAGATGGACACCTTAAATAACTCTGACTTGATCACTATGCTTTATATACATGTAACAGAATTTCTCATGTATCCCATCAATTTGTACAAATAATAATTTTTAAAAAACCCTCTGCAGCAGGTTCAATTTTCAGTGAAAGTTACCTTCACTCAGGTCTTTACGATCCTCTAAAAGCAATGGTTTCCAAACATTTTCCATCACTTCTTTGAAAATATCTATGCCTGACAAAGGATAAATGGTGGGCAGTCGTATACTAAGTAATCATGTAAACTAAAATGCCTATTATGAACTGGATGTTGTCTGAAATACCAACTCATAAATTTGGATGTGCACAACAGCACTCCATTATCAAGAGAGAGTGGCATTTATAAGACTTGATTCAAGCAGATCTTGAAGCACAGGCATGTTGCATAAGCAAGTATAGGTTCACAAGGCACTCGCTTCTGCTGCATCAACGTCTTGGCCACAACCATTACCTATGACCTCTCAACATGTCCTCTTGTCCTTGTGATCCTTTGCCGGTGCCAGCCAGAGGTAAACAGCTGCAGCATTACAGTTTTTCAGTGGTGGACTTGAAAGACAGTAGTGAAGGCAAACATTCCTTATGAGCAAAAATGATGATAGATAACTGCTTGTTCACTTTATCTGGAATGAATGAAGTCTAGAGATAGATCTACATCAATTATATCAATTATTGGGAAGTGGCTAACAAATGTTTCAAATATCAAAGGACATGGAAATAACAAGATTAGAGAACTGGTGACATAGAATCCTGGAGAATAGTGTGTGGATAGAATCTTGGAATGAGTGCAAAGTGTAAGAATATTTGTGTCCAGTGAGATGTTTACCTATGTGCATCCACTGTAATAAAGATTTTTATCCATCAGATGGAAAAATATATTCTGTGAATAACAACTTGCTTTTTTGCCCAGCTAGCCCAGCCACTTGCTCAATGGACTAATGTACAAAGTAGCCATGGAGGCATAGATGGAGATTATACATGGAAATAAAAATATTGATTTCCTCACAAAAAGGATATCTGGCTACAACCATTGTTGATCATCCAACCTACCAAATAACAGAGATTAACACTAAGCCACAATTTCACGGAGGGCATTAGTCAATGGCAGTTTTATTCTGTTGGACATCTTCCTTCAGGGAAATGTTGGTACTTTATCTTCACTAAACCAATACTTAGGTTGTGAATCTGACTCTCATGCTTGCAGTGCTTCTGCCAACACTACCATCAATGAACATGATTTTTGATATAGAAATTTATTTTTTTCTCAAAAGCAATGAGCCCATAAAATCCTGATGTGGAGCTTATTTACCCAATAGCTGGCCTTAGAAAATGTTGAATGGTCTACTGAATATTTAGTTATGGTTTAGTCTGGATGGCATGACTTTGAGGGTTTGATCCTTTAAGATGTGGTGTAGGCTTTAAATCAGCTCTTGATGTACATTGTTGTTCCTCTCATGATAAAGCTGCACTGCTCCAAGGATTTCTGTAACTATAATCGCAAATGACCCATTCATAAAGCATTTCTTCCTCTTATTAAACTTTGTCTTCTGTTGGTGGAGTACACACCCTTGAGAATACTTGCCCAAGGGGACATAATGGCCATTTTATTGAACTGAAGGCTGAAACAGTCACTTGGTCATTCTGGGGTTCTCATATCACTGAGACAACAGAAAAAAAATGTTACTATATTTACAAAGGTTTTAATGAGGTTATCCTGGAAAGTGGGATTGTGACCAGAAAATGGAAACAAAAAAAAAAGTAGGTTCAGAGACCTCACAGGTCTTATTTTGTCTTATTTTCTTCATCTTATTTTGAAAATTTTAAAATCTACACAAGAATACTATAACAAATATCTATATTCTTTCATCTGGATTTATCTTTGTATAGATAATAGACATATGATGATGGTGATAAAGATGATAAATAGATATATCTAGACCAATAGCTATAGATAAATAGATAATAAGTTTCTCTACTAAATCATCTGGAAGTTTCAGACATTGTTTCATATTTGCAACAATCTCTGCAATAACACCATGTTGCATGACATTGTTGCATGACACCATGTCATTGTTGCATGACACCAAATACATCAGCATGCATCTCTTAAGAACTAGAACATTTCCCTACATAAACATAATTCCGTTATCATTTTTAATATAACATTCACATACACAATTTCCTGAAGTTCCCAAAATAAAGCTGTAAAATGGTAAATAAGCATAAGCTAAGAGCTTGCTGTACTCTACATCTGGAGGCAAGCAGAAGAAACTAGGAGTACACTCCTATAGGGTCACAGAAATTCATCCTCAGATCCACAGACCAGGACTAGATTTTAAAATAAAAGTGTGATCTTTTCCGCCACGTAATGACATTATAGGTATTGCAGATATCAAGTCTCTGAGCCAACAGCAAATAAGTTTCAGACTCTGTTGGTGATCCTGCCTTATTTCCTCTCATGTCCCCAGGCTCACCATTTCCTGTAGCCCATAGAGCCAGAAAGCAACTGGAAGAATTTTTTTCAACTTTCTTTCACAGGTGGGAGGTGGGAACACTGCCAACCAAATCGTTGTATTTATGCAGTGAGCCTGGCTCACATCTACCATCTCACTTAGAACACTTACTTCATATGACCCTGCAGGAGTAACTTCCTGACTACCACAGGATGCTGGTTATACAGCACATGCATGAATTTTTCTTAGTCTCATAAATTACTATTTCATTTGTGGCCACAACATTGTTTGTTATGCTTGATCCTACCTAAGACATTTTAGTGTTCCTTTTCATACTTTATGTATCATTATTATGAGTCTGTCACAGAGAAAATAACATTGGAGCATAAACTATTCATATCTTGACTGGGAGTAATCACCAGGGCCACTGCATTTGGATATGTATGGTTGAGCAGTTTCTTTAAAGCACAAGAGCACTTAGATTTAGGTTAAGCAGGAGCAAATATCTAGTCTGATGCTTCACACCAAGTTGTGTGCATGGAAGAGGGGTTCTTTAGAAAAAGAGGCACTTGTTTCTAATTCACACAAAGGAATTAGCTTCTCACCAAAATATGTATCTGAAAATGTGTGCACAGTGAGAGGAAATATCTTTTCTCTAGTTTTCAAAGAGGCAGCTTATAGGCTTACAATACCTTTGGTCATTTTATTCACGTAAAAACCTTTCTGGAGTATTCTGGAAAGACAGTACAGAGTTCTTCAATCTCCACATAAAAATTAATAGACAACCCAGATGGCACAGTTCAAAGCTGTAATGATCAAGGGTACAATTCAATAAGAAGATATAATGTATTGTGTACTCATCTAAAAAGAGAGCTTTAAATTACACAGGAAAAATAATTATAGGAGTGAAATCATATTTATAGTTGAAGACAATGTCAACACTCCTCTCTTAGTAGTTGATAGAAAAAGTAGACAAAAAATGAGTTACTTGACATTAGGTTACTCCATCCAACAGAAAAATATACGTCGTTTTCAAGTACATATAAAATAGTCACCAAGATAGACAATAATTTCGGCCAAAAAAAGGAAAATGCAATTAATTTTAAAGTTTGTTCTCTCATGAGAATAGAATTAATTTATAAGTGAGAGACAGGAAATCGCCAAATATTTTGGAATAAAAAAAAGTCTAAATAACTAATGTGTCAAAGAAGCAGTCTCCCATGTTTAAAATTGACTTAAAATGAAAATACAACTAAACAAAATTTGTGGAATGAAGCTACAGAGTTGCTCAGAGGAAAGTTTATAGCATAAACATTTATATTAGAAAGATGTCTCAAATAATTATCTAAAATTGCTCCACAAAAAAGTAGGTAAGTTACACTTAAGAAAACCAAAAACAAAAATAATAAAGATAAAAGTAGAAATCAGTAAAATTTAAAATAAAAAATAAAATAGGAAAAATGTCAATGAAACTAAAAGCTGGTCTGTTGAAAGCATCAGTAAAGTCAATGATCTTTATACCAGACCGACTGACCAAGAAAAATAGAGAATGGACATAGTAATGTCAGAAATAAAAGAGGGGATATCCTCATTCACTACACATTCTACAGGTAATAGGAGATGAATAAGGGAATATTATAGATAATGCTATGACCATAAATACAATAACTTAAATTGAAAGGTCTTTGAGAGATGCTAACTACCAAGAAGAAATTGAAAGTTTCAGTAATCTTATATCTATTAAATAAATTAAATTTATGGTTAAAATCTATCAATAGCAACAGCAACAAATTCCCAAAACAGATGCTTTACTGGGCAATTTTATCAAATATTTAATGGGTAATATAAGTTTTACTCAAAGTTTCACAAAATTGAAGAAAAAGAACATTTTCCAACTCTTTATGAAGTCATAATTACTCTGATATCAAAACCAAATATACCAACAGATAGAAAACTATAGACCAATACTTCTCAAAATCATAGATGCAAAAATCCTCAAGAAAGTAGTAGTAAATTGAATTTAGCAATATATAAAAATGGTATTACATCATGACCAAGTTGAGTTTGTTCTGAAATATGCAAGGCTGGTTCTCATATGTAAGTGAGAAGATGTGGTATTTAGTTTTCTGTTCCTGCATTATTTCACTTAGGATAACGACCTACAGCTTCATCCATGTTTCTGTAAAGGATATAATTTCATTCTTTTTTATGGCTTCATAGTATTCCATGGTATATATGTAACAGAGTTTCTTTATCCAGTCCACCACTGATAGACATCTAGGTTGATTCCATGTATTTGCTGTTGTGAATAGTGCTGTGATGAACATATGAGTGCATGTGTCTTCATGGTAGAATGCTTGATATTCCTCTGGGTATATACCCAGTAATGGGATTTCTGGGTCAAATGGTAGTTGTATTTTAAGTTATTTGAAAAATCTTCAGACTGCTTTCCACAGTGGCTGAACTAATTTACATTCCCACCAACATATAAGCATTCCCTTTTCTCTACAACCTAGCCAGCATCTGTTATTTTTTTTGACTTTTTAATAATAGCCATTCTGATTGGTGTGAGATGTATCTCATTGTGGTACTGATTTGCATTTCTCTAATGATTAATGATATTAAACTTTTTTTCCCATATGCTTGTTGGCCATGTGTATGTCTTTTGAGAAGTCTCTGTTTATGTCTTTGCCTATTTTTTTAATAGGGTTGTCTTTATCTTGTTGATTTAAGTTCCTTATACATTCTGGATATTAGACTTTTGCCAGATGCATAGTATGCAAATATTTTCTCCCATTTTGTAGGTTGTCTGCTTACTCTGTTGGTACTTTCCTGTGCTGAAACTCTTCAGTTAAATTAGGTCCCACTTGTCAGTTTTTATTTTTATTGCAATTGTTTTTGGAGTCTTTGCCATGAATTTTCCAAGGCTGATGTCCAGAATGATATTTCCTAGGTTTTCTTCCAGGGGATTTATATTTTTAGGTTTTACATTTAAGTCTTTAATATGCCTTGAGTTGATTATTTTATATGGTGAAAAAGGGGTCCAGTTTCATTCATCTTTGTATGGCTAGCCAGTTATCCAAGCACCATTTATTGAATAGTGTTTGTTATTGCTGGCTTTGTCAATGATTAGATAATTGTAGGTTTATGGCTTTATTTCTGGGTTTTCTACCTATTCCATTGGTCTATGTGTCCATTTTTGTACCAGTACCATGCTGTTTTAGTTACTGCAGACTTGTTGTATGGTTTGAAGTCGGGTAGTGTGATACTATTAACTTTGTTCTTTTTACTTAAGATTGCTTTGGCTATTCAGGTTCTTTTTTTGGTTCCAAAAGAATTTTAGAATACTGTTTTCTAATTCTGTGAAGAATGTCACTGGTAGTTTGATGGGAAAAGCATTCAATCTGAAAATTGCTTTGAGGAGTATGGCCATTTTAACAATATTGATTCTTCCTATTCATGAGAATGGAATGGTTTTTTTCATTGGTTTGTGATATCTCTGATTTCTTTCAGCAATGGTTTATAATTCTCATTCTAGAGATCTTTTACTTCCAGAGTTAGCTGTATTCCTAAGTATTTTTCTTTCTGTGGCTATTGTGAATAGGACTGAGTTCTTGATTTCACTACTCCTATTTTACATTGTACTGGAGACCATAGGTAATGCAATAGTGCAAGAAAATAAAACCCAATCACCAAGATTCAAGAGAAAAAATTCTATTTTTGCACATGTGATAGTTTACATTAAAAAATCTCAAAGAATTTACAAAAAGTTCAGAGAATTAATCAGTGAATTTGGCAACATTGCTGCATTAAAGTTTAATATATAATAATTAATTGTGTTAAAATCTACTACCAGTAAATAATTGGAAATTGAATTTTAAAATGGTACCATTTACAATTACAACAAATACTATGAAATATTTTTATATAAACCTAACAAAACAGGTGCAAGTTATATATGCTAAAAACTATAAAACATTGATGAAAGAAATCAAGAAGACCTAGATAAATGAAGTGACATGCTATGTTCATGGGAAATAAAACTCAAAAGTGTTAATTCTCACTAAATTGATTTCAAGGATTCAAAAATATTCTAATAAAATCACTGGATTTTAAGGCAAACAGTAAAAATTATTTGATCAACTATTGGAAAAGATAAAGTATAAAAGGAAAAAAATAAGATGGTCATTAGAAAAGCTTTAAAGCAGAAAAACACAGAGTAAGCTATCAGTATAGCAAAGCAAAGAAAAAGCAAGTGAAGAACTTATATGCTGAAAAGCTAAGTATCAAGAACAAGAGTACAGAAAATCTGTTATAACATGCAAGATTTCAGGAACTATTGCAAACATGAGATTTTTCTGAGGTATCTACTAGAAAATGAACTTTAGATAATGAATAAAAGAGTGTTTTGATGTAAAGACTGGTGGATAATATTAAATATGTAGTTATTTGTAGAACTATTAATATCATTTTAAACATCTCCCTGGCCAATTTTGGAGGATAAAGAACAAATTCACTACCTAGAAAACCATGAAAAAGAAAATAGAGCATTCATTTTGCTTTTCTTATATGAAATGTATCAATGAATAATATATAAAGAGAGAGAAGCAGTTTTACATATTTTAATCAAATAAAAATGATATCATCTTTTCAACCTATGATAAATCAACAAATCTTGGCATTGAGCCTCAATGACTTTGAACACATAAAACAAAAATGTGAAAACCAGAAATTATGTACAAATACACCATCAACTATAAACCTGCCAAAGCATTCAAATCTGAGTCTGATCAAGCCTCTGGGTTCACATGCCAATTTGCAGAGAAGAGAAGAACGTTTTGAACTATACTCTAAGTAAACGTTTAAAATCAACAGAACCAGAATATAGGAAACATTGTAGGTCAAACAGCCCAGGTTCTTGAACAAATAATTTATAAGAAAAGAAATAAATGAATGGGGAATCTGTAGATTAAGAAACATAACAAATTAAAATTAGCAAGAGTAAACTATGAAGTCTAAGAATGAATAGTTATGTGACTACATATAAAGAAAAACAAAAAGGTGATCACTGTAATTGTTAGTTTGGGAGAGAATGAGGGTTTTGTGACTGAGGTGGGGTAAGCGAAAGAGTTTTTGGTCGGTTGGTATCATTTCTGATTTTGTAACCTAGGTGGTAATTACAATTGTGCCCAACATAATATAATTCATTAAGCTATATATTTGTTTTGTATGGCTTTCTGTATTTGTGTTTGATTTTATAATAAAGATGTTAAAACTAAGGAATAAAAACAAAATAAGTAAAACAGTTCCTAACAACATTTATGGACAGGCCTTGTTTATAAGCACTGATATATGATATTAATTAAAATAGTCACAGGCTTTGAGGAGTGGATAAATGAAATAGGAACAATGATGTATCATTTAAATATGATCTGCTACATGCAAATATTTCCAGCTAATAAAGTACAAGGCTCTAGTATAGAACTTTAATATTTCCTGGGTAAGAAAGCATCTAAACTGGCAAGTAACAACCCAAAAGAGTGTAAAGGGATGTTCCAAGTAGAAGCAAAAGCAAAACCAGAAATTTTTAAAAATAAACAAATAACAGTGCAAGCAGTGACATAGGAACTCACAACTGAAGTATAAAGTAGAAAGTGAAGAAACAAAACAGTACTTACTTTGAAATTAAAATGCCAATATTTAAATGTGAAGTTTAAAATGAATTTATATGTGGGGAGCATGAGGCGGAGCAAAATGGCCCAACAGAACCCTCCACTGATTGTCCTCCCTACAGAAACACCACATTTAACAACCATCTACACAAAACAGGCACCTTCATGAGAAACAAAAATCAGTTTAAGTACCGAGTTGGCCACAGTGGGGTACAGCACCAAGCAGGCACTTGTTGTCCTCGATTCTGGGTATTGGCTCTTGGAGGGCATTTCTGGACCTGCCCTGGGCCAGAAGGGTGAGTCCCACACCTAGTAACTTTCATGCCCTTGGGCCTTGAGTGAACATCAGTGTTAGCCTGGCAGTATTCCCTATGGGCCTGTGGTGGGTGGCCCCTGGGAAAAGACTCCTCTGCTTGTGGAAATGAGAGGGAAGAGTGGGAAGGACTTTGTCTTGTGGCTTGGATTCCAAGTCAGCCACAATAGAATACAGCGTGAGTTAGGTTCCTAAGGTTTCTGACTCCAGGCCCTGGTTTCCAGATGGCATATCTGGACCTACCCAGGGCAGGGGAAAACTTGTCCCTGAAGGGAAAGACACAAGACTGGCTGGCTTTGTCACCTGCTTATTGTAGAATCCTAGGACCTTGAGTGAACATAGACAGTAGCCAGGTAGTAGTTACAACAGGCCTTGGGTGAGACCCAGTGCTGTGCTGGGTTCAGGTCTGTCCCAGCACAGTCCCAGTGGCAGTTGCCACAGCGGCAGTTGCCACAGCGGCAGTTGCCACAGTGGCAATTTATATCCCTCCCCCAGCTCCAGGAAGCTCAGCACAGAAGGAGAGACTCTATTTGTTTAGGAGAAAGTAAGAAGAGAGATCAAATCTCTGGTAATTCAGAGTTCTTCTGGACTTTTTGAGTATTACCCCACAAGTACAGACAATCAAAGCAAAAATGAACAAGTGGGTTTACATTAAGTTAGAAAGCTTCTGCACAGCAAACAATCAGCGAAGTGAAGTGACAACCCACAGAATAAGAGAAAATATTTGCAAACTCCCCATCTGACAAAAGATTAATAACCAGAATATGTAACAAGTTCAAACAACTCAACAGGAAAAAAATCTAATAATCTAATTTAAAAATGGGCAAACGATCTGAATAGACATTTCTCAAAAGAAGACATTCTAATGGAAAACAGGTATATAAAAATGTGCTCAACATCACTGATCATCTGAGAAATGCAAATCAAAACTACAATGAGATATGATTTCACCCTAGTTCCAATGGCTTTTTCCCAAAAGACAGGCAATAATGAATGCTGCCAAGGACGTGAAGAAAAGGGAACCTTCAGATACTGTTGGGAGGAATCTAAATTAATAAAATCACTATGAGGAACAGTTTGGAGTTTCCAAAAACTCAAAAATAGAGGTACCTATTATCCAGCAACATCACTGCCAGGCTACCCAAAAGAAAGGAAATCTGTATATTTGAAGAGATATCTACACCCTTATGTTTATTGCAGCACTATTCACAATAACCAAGATTTGGAAGCAACCTAAGTGTCTATCAACAGACTAATGAATACAGAAAATGTGGTACATATACATAATGGAGTACTACTCAACCATAAAAAGAATGGGTCCTGTCATTTGCAAGAACATGGATGGAACGGGAGGTCATTATGTTAAGTGAAGTAAGCCAGGCACAGAAAGACAAACTTTGCATGTTCTCACTTATATTTATGGGGTCTAAAAGTTAAAACAATTAAACTCATGGAGATACAGAGCAGAACGACGGTTATCAGAGGATGGGAAAGGTAGTGAAGGGGAGAGGGAAAGTAAGGATGGTTAATGGGTACAAAAAATAATTAGAAAGAATGAATAAGATCTAGTATTTGATAACACAACAGGGTGATAACAGTCAATAATTTAACTGTATATTTTTAAATAACTAACAGAATATCATCAGATTGTTTGTAACACAAAAGACAAATGCTTGAAGTGATAGATACCCCTTTTATCCTGATGCGATTATTATGCATTGTATGCCTGTATCAAAATATCTCATGCACCCCAAAAATATATACACTCACTGTGTATCCACAAAAATTAAAAATAATTTTTTTTAGAAAAATGAATTTATACATATATGTCATACTTCTTGACAGATTAATATAAAATTACATTCCATAAGTATATACACCTACTGTGTACCCACAAAATTAAAAATAATTTTTTTAGAAATATGAATTTATACATGTACTTCATACTTCCTAACAGATTAATACAAAATTACATCCTATAATGACTCACAATACAATTGGACCTGGCCACAGAATCTTCAACAAAGTAACAGCAATCAAATCAGTTCTTTCAACTGTAATAATGATCACAGGATGTACATTTCAGAATAATCCAGATGCAGTCCAATTATATTGATGATTTTACACACACCATTAGATTAAGTAGCTGGCAAGATAATCTGTTCTTTCAAATTTGTATGCAAGTAAGCAAATAAATATGGCATACAATATAAGCCTGTGTTTCATTTTGATTAGTTATTATGATTTTTTTTATTGGTACAACATTCCAGAATCTGGCCTGTAAGTCTTCACTCATTGAAATAAAAAAGACACCTGCATCTATAAAACAAGTTCCAGCTAGTATAGGTAAACCCATTATCTGACAAAAATTTAAGTGATATTGGTTACCTTATACTGAAATCTGAAATACTTACCAAGCTGTACATATTTCATTATTAATACAGAAAAGGATTTTCTGTGATTACCCCATTCCCTAATAGACATTGCATGAAGAATATCAGAGAATATAGTACATTACTATGAAAACATAAATAAGGTAAGATGACATTTTCAATATGAGGAGTGATTATTAGAAAAATATATTTTCAAAGGCTTATATTGATTGACAAGAACTAAATCAAGATCTTATCTATCAATATATGAATAACAAAGAGATATACAATGGAAACAAGCTATATCGCGAGTATCTGGAGCCAGTGTATTTTTAATAATGGAAGTTAGATAATTACTAACAAACTCTGATCCACTGTCCAAGGAATCTATTAAGAAATATGTGTTTATTGGCATTTTTTTATTCATAACATCATGCAATCAATCATTTTAAAATACTCATAGAATGAGTCATAAAAAACCATTTAAATATTGCATTATGCTCTTTTTGGAAGTTAGCAGTAGGCAAAATTATCAGCCCATAAAAACCCAAACATTGCTGAAGACTTACTCTTAAATATGCACAAGAATAATTTATAGAAATGGGATAAAATATGATTAATAGGGAGAATAAATCCATCCTGTCTTTGGAAAGAAAGATTAGGCCACAGGCATAAATTAATTGTGATATTCAAAATAACCATTGTAAAAGAATCACTGTTTTAGTAAGATAATATTTTCTTTTTAATGGGTAAAGAAAATAGTCATTTTTATTTTACCAGCAAAAAAGCACTTATTTCACTTTTGGTATATCATAAAAGGGATACAAGGTATAAGCTACATATCTCTTATTCTCAATATCATTTATTAATTTATAAAGGTCTTTTTTCTCCTTTGAACATTTATTAAACAGAGCTGTTGTGTTCAGAATTGATTTTGCTGTCTCAGCCACATTAAGGCTGAGATGCTTTTTGGCTTTCATCTGAATGAACAATTTCCTAGTTAGACACACTGGATTTGGAGTTGGATCAATAAAAGCTTTACTGTGTCCTTTCTCTTTCCTCTTAGAGCTCACAAAAGAGAACCAAATTCCATTCATCTTTTCACCTGCCACAGTGGAATCTTTAGCAATGCAATTCTGGCTTGAATGAAGAAACATAGCGACAAACTGGCAAAGAAACAAATAGTAATATCTATTTCCCATGCTTATACTCCTGAAGATCAGTTACTTCTGGGTATGCATGTAAATTTGTCTAACTCTAACTATTTGTCTTTGCTGTGCTTTGGGAGTATAAATCCTTATCAAGGGTTTAGTGTAATCCTGCTGAATCTTAAGTGGCTAACTCAAGTTATTTGCAAGGAAGCCAATTTGATTAGATCCTGGTGATTTAAATTTAAAGGATTTTGAATGGATTAAGTCAAGGAGTTCTTTTTACAACTTTGAATTCTGTCATTTAAAGTGACCAAGCATTAAAAGTCAAAATTTTGTAATATTCATGAGAATTTATGTACATTATTTTTTAATTATCTCCCCCAGTTTATAGATGTTAATGTTTAAGAAAAATGATTTCATTTTATGTGACATACTTGAACTGAAAATAACCAGTCTAAAACTATCAGCAGTGATTGAAAAACATGTTACAAACCAGACATAAAACTGCAAAACACAAAAGCATAGAAGTTCTCAAGCAGAAGGCATGGTTGTCGTGTTAAGTCTAGTGGTGATTCCATTGCTGGTGGCTGATATTCCAGCTATTTCACTCTACTCTTCTACTGTACTCCAGGAATCAGAGTAGCTCCTTTCTGAAATGAGCAATAGTTTTTGGCTTACAGACTTACTGAATCTTATGAGACGCTGACTGTACACAAGACAAAATAAAATAATGATTTATTTCCTTTGTTCCAAGTCTCTTTTAAATTTTGTTTTAATAACATAAGTTATGAAAAATCTATAAAATATTCAAAAGGGAGAAAAGTACCAGCTGGAAGGACAGACAAATACAAAAACTAAACTAAAAAAAATCAGTTAATCAGCAGGAAAAAGGTAGCAGGGGACATTCAATGATCAGTATGTAGAAGACATGCTCAGAAATTAATAGAAGTAACAAAAAGACAAACTTTATTTACTAAATAAATATTTCTTGTGGGACTATTTTACATCAAACACTATTCTAGATTCTAGAACATAATATATAACAATCAATGAAAAAAAGCAGTCTTATGTCCCTGCCTACATGGCCCTTACATTCCAGTGATGAAGGACCACCAACAAACAAGAATAACTGAACTATTTAGTATGCCAGACATTTATGTGTATCATTAAAAAATGAAGAGAAATACGGGCAGAATAGGCTAGTGCAGACTGGTACTGAACTTCATGTCTTAGTGTTTCTTGAGAAAAACATTTGACAGATATTTATTCCTAAATATTTGTTAAGGGTTTTAAAAATAGGCTGAATGCAGTGGCTCATGTCTGTAATTCCAACACTTTGGGAGACGGAGGCAGGAGGATAGCGTGAGGCCAGTAATTGGAGACCAGCCTGCTTGGCTAGCATAGCAAGACCCTATCACTACGAAAAAAAAAGAAAAAGTGTTGAAAAATAAAAAGAAGTTGAAAAAAGTATGACTGAGTATAAAGCTCACTCTATCATAGAGCAGTATGATATCCATGAAAGGAGGTTGAAAAATACAAATATGTAAATATAAAACTCTTGGCTAAGAGGTAAAATTTATTATCCACCTCTAACATGCTATAGGACTGTGGAATTGCTAATATGAATCAAATTCAAAAAAATCATAAAAGTTAAGCTGAGAAATATAGATTAATGAGTATCATTTTCTTACTTGACAAATATATGAAAGTTATATCAATAGATGGGCCAATGAAACAGACATAATAAGTGTGAACAAGGTAAAGTGTTTCTATGAGAAAAAAATCATTCTGACTGATGCCGATTCTTTCAGAACTAACTGAATATATAAATGGGAAGAAATCACTGAAGATGACTAGCTTAGGCTTTCAAAAGGCCTATAATATGAGTTTACATGAAAGATTATTTTAAAATGAGAAAATGTAAAAGGAAAATGTTTTTATAGATTTGAGATTGACCTTGAAGGATACTGAGGTCAGAGAAGATGTAGATTTTTCTTACGATGTAAATATCTAAATAGTGAGAGTTCTTAGAGTTTATACAACAAATAAAGCATGTGCAACACAATATTCCATGTTTTTGGAATCACATTAGCTATTCCAGGTAGTGAAATGTCAGGCTGATGAATATAAAATCATCAATTCACATTCAGTAACAGTTATTGAGCACCTCTCATGTGTGCTGGGCAATGTACCAAGGATTAAATTATAGAGATATTTTAAAAATATGGTCCCTGTATTGAGTAAGTCTCCATGCAGCTCTTACATCCCCAATTTCCTATCTGGATCATAAAAATCATGGAAATAGGTTTCCAGCAGCTGGCACTGTTACCTTCCCAGCTGTTCTTTCTCTTCTCAGCACTTCAGGATGTGGTATTGGGCAACACACCAGTCTAGGAAATAGCTTTTACTTCCTGTGATATTAGCTCTCCTGATTCTAAGACAAGAACAAATGTTCAGCCAGAAAAAATAAAAATTAAGGCATGGGAGTATATTTCCTCATATGCTTCCATTTGCACTGACCTCCATAGACAGATTTCGCATGCTCCAGAAAGAATCATTGGCTCCAAGCTATTAAGGGAATAAGCTGATGAGTCAGGAACTGAGAATTTGACCAAGGACTCCTTCATTGAAGGACATATTCCAGCAAACATTATAGTTCCCAATGTGTCTGGCGTCACTGCATTTTTCTTTGCCTTGCCCTTTAGATTAGTGCGGACAACTCTGGCTTAGTATGCTCCAAATCAGCACAAAACAGATATGGGTGTTAATGGTGAGAGATATGTCTATATTCTATTCTGTTTATTTACCTTCCCTTTATGCCAAGGGTAGGTTTTTATCCAATTTATCATCCATTGTAGTGACATTTTGATAGTAGAAGAGATGCTCATGACAATTACTTGGGGGCCATCAAATGTAGAGGAGGACTTGAGAAAAAGAATTATCCAAATGAATGACATTTTTTAACAACCACTTTTTTGTGTTCTCGAAAGAGTCATCATAGGATGTGAGATCTGGAAATATTCTGAGTACGTTTTTAAAAAGGTGAATTTGATAAGATTCAAGGACTTTACTGGATTTAGTAGGTTCTTATGTTGCCCAATGAAAAACATGTCACTTTCTCTTCTATTTCATGTTATTGCTTGAAGTAATTTTCATGTGTGCTATCTGCTATTTTTCTTTCTTCTCACTGCCATGACCTTGGATACCTCATTTTAGCTTTTATTACCACACTTTAAGTGTCCACAAACCTGAAGGCTCCATTTTAAATTTTATTTCATCATTTTAAGCAGGATATATCATTTAGGAAGAGTTATTTCAAGAGCTCTGCTACTTGTAGCTCACTAGACTTTATCTGCTTTTGAATTCTCTCTCTCTCTCACACACACACACACACACACACACACACATACATACATGCACACACCTGTAGTAGAAGCAATTACCATACAATATGCTCTACGTTTTTCTGTGACATTTAGGGTTAGGGAAAAACTATCAATATAATTTAATCATCTAATCATCACCATGCCCAATTTGTCAGGTACTATTAGTCATTATTTGTGTACCTTGGAAGCAATGAAGTGTTACTGAAAAATATTTACTAAACTGAAATTTAAAACTCATTCAGTCAAAAATACAAAATGAATACTACTGTATACAAAACATACTGAATATATAAGTAGTACCAAAGATACAATGACACAATCCCTGCAAAAAAGAACTCACAATTCATGTCTGAATAAAAAAATCAAGCCTAAAAATTACTTAAGAATACACATCAATATAGAAGTAAATATATAAACTCCAAATTATGGCTTTAGTGTTATGGGGTTTTAAATGGAATGTCTCAAATTTTCTGTTTGTTGTTCCTTGGTGTTAAGAGATTTAAGAAAAAAGGAGAACAAACATCCTGTCAGTTTACTAACAAGAAGTACTTTGATCACAAAATAGATAATACCTCCAAATTGGCCATTAAGTAGCTTAAGGTAAGGGAAACTTGTCACTTAGAAAGTTAAAGCTGCTGGGCCAACAGGAAGTAAGACACTTGTCCTTCTGCGAGGCCTTAGAGGTAAGAACTCCATAGGCAGTAAAGTTCCTACTTTAATACAACCTCTTGCGGGAAAAGAATCATAGAAATCCAGGCCTCTCGTCTGACATTAGTACAATGGGATAAGACAATGATAACGTACCTTCTGCTTTCTCCCAAGACACACTAAGAATCACTGTAAGATCTAGGCTGATCTCCTTTGGGTGAGGAGGAATATAATTATAATGGAAGTCTAGTTGAAATCAAACTATCTTCCAAGATATATCATTAATGTTACTTCATCACCAGTCACATTTACTGTATTAGTCTGTTCTCATGCTGCTATAAAGAACTGCCCAAGACTGGATATTTGTAAAGGAAAGAGGTTTAATTGACTCACAGTTCCACATTGTTGGAGAGGCCTCAGGAAACTTAAATTCATGGCAGAAGGTGAAGGGGAAGCGAGGCACCTTCTTCACAAGGCAGCAGGAGGGAGAAGTGAAGAGTGAAGGGGGCAAAAGCCCCTTGTAAAACCATTAGATCTCATGAGAACTCACTATCACAAGAGCAGCATGTGGAATCACCCCATGATCTAATCACCTCCCACAGAGTCCCTCCTCCAACACGTGGGGATTACAATTCAAGATGAGATTTAGGTGGGGACACAGAGTCAGACCATATCATCTATCGTATGAGATTATCTTGCCCTGAGAACAGAAGAGAGAGCATGGGCAGATGAGAAATTAGGGTCACTGATTCTAATGCACTCTTTGTATACTATCAGGTGGTCAATTTAATTGGCATATATATAGCTTGAAATAAATAGAATGCATTTATTTTCAGTTCCTTCTTATTTCTTAGATCTTTGCTACTCAAGTTGTGCCCCACAGAACAATACCAGCAAGACCTGGTTGCTTACTAGAAATCCAGATGATCAGGCTATATCTCAGATCTACAAATCAAAATCTGCATTTTAACAATTTATCCAGATGATTAATAGTCATGCTAAATTTTGAAGAGCATTGCTTGATCTAAGTCAATGGCCAAATAGAAGCACAGAGAGCTTGGTAACTTGCCCAATATAGCATAGGCCAACAATGATGGAGCGAGACAATCTCAGGATCATTTATGAGTAAAAAAAGTCCCCACATTTTATTTGCCGTCTAGTATCTCTCCCAACCCCTTTTATAAAGAAGTCTAAGAAAACCAAAGTCAACCTTAGAAGGATTCCCATAGTGGAGTGAATAATAAGTATTTTAGCCAGAGTCATATGAGGTGAAATATCTTTGCAGTAATTTAAGCCATTTAAGAAATGTTGAGAAAAAGTTTGTATTATCAGAACTTGTTAAAACTATTATTATCACTAAAGGAAATATGTACTAGGTAAAAATATAGATCAAGTATAGTTCCATTTACCAAGATTGATAAACACATGAATTTCTTCTACTCTAGCAAAAATCTTTTTGAAATTATTAAAGATATGTAAGAAATAGAAATTAGCAATAGCAGAACTGGAAATCCTGGAAGGGTACCTTCAGTTGACCAGAAGAGGGGAAGATTCCTGGGTCACACAAAGCGGATAGACCCCCAAAGATATCCAAAGATATATATATATATACAGAGAGAGAGAGAGAGAGAGAGAGAGAGAGAGAGAGAGAGAGAGAGAGAGAGAGAAACACCAATAGAGAGAAACCATGAAGAGTATATCGAGAATCCAGAATTACTACTGACCAGAAGCAGTGATGGTTAGGAAAATGAATGAATCATGGCTATCATCTAGAGATATAAATTAAGAAAATATCTACCACTTCATGGTGACAAATGTCAGAATTTCCTCAGGTAAATATTGACATCAAGTTCTCCAAATAGAACTGAGTTTTCTGATTGACTAGGAAATAATAAATGAAGTGCATGAGCTAGAAAGTCAGGGTATGGCCACAAGTAGTTTATAAACAAAATCAGACACTAGAAATCTCCATTCTAGAGGACATATTACCACCACACATGTATACACACACACGCACATGCACACACACACACACACACACAGAGAGAGAGAGAGAGAGGAGAGAGAAACCAGGCTTCTTTTATTGAATAGCAATTTAAAAAGTACTGGTACTTTTCAGCAAAGACTGGTACTTTGAAGAATCTAATATCACAGAAAATTTTATGCCAAATCTCATTTTTTTTAAAGTTAGAAGACAAACAACTTTAAGTACAGAGAAGTAACATAACTACTAACTTAGAAAATTTTTTTTCTGCTGGATAAACGTAATTTTAACTGGAGCTTATAATAAATATTCAACCTAACTAAACGAATAACATAGACACTTATGTACAAAATGAATTATATCATGAATCTCTAAGTATTTTAGGAAAGCAAAGTTATAAAATAACTAAATGTACTAAACAGAATTACTATATTCAACAAGCACATAACCAATTTTTTAAAAATTAAGTAATTATGGTGAGTATCTACAATGAAATTTGATAAAACTTGGCATCCTGAGAAACACTGCCATTTAGAAAGGAATAATCAAAGTAATTAAAATGAGAAAAACTATTGCTTGATTTTTAAAACAAAATCATAGATAGGTGAATAGTAGAATGCACTTAGCTAAAATTGAATTAGAAAGCTAACTAGTAATAGTGCCAAAGGAGTTCCCCCAGAAGGCAGTCAAAAAGGAAAAAGAGTGAAATAGCATGAGAAGCTTTCTCATGGAAGCTAGACTCATTTTGGACATCCATATAATAGTAGTTCCAGAGAAAGAGAACAAAGAGAATCGAGAAAAGAAAACAAATAAAGTGTCACAAAGCTGAAGAAAGATCATTTAAACTAGACTCACACTTGCTTCAAACATCTTGCCAGAATATTGGCTGTTGGAAATGAAAAACAAAGAGCATACAAAATAAATTTATCCTCTTAAATATAAAAAACACACTTCAACATAACAGTAGGGTTACAGAGAATATCAATTTTAACATTATAAATTATTTAGAAAAGTACTACATATCAAAGCCTGCTGAATAGAGCTGAAGTGCTACTAAGAGTAATTTGCATAATCCAAAACATATACTTTGGAAAACAAAAAAGACTGAAAAAATTAATTAGACATTCAATTCAAGGATCAAGGAAAATTAACAGATCAAGGAAAAATAAAATAGGGCACAACTCACAGAGAGGAGTTAACAAAGATAAAAGCAGAAATAAATCAAGTAGAAAATCTAACAGTAAGAAGAAGAATAATAGACAAATAAAAGCAATAGCTGCTTCTTTGAAGAGTTTATTGTAACAAACCACATGTTTGCCTCCATAAAAAAGTGAGAAATCACAAATATACACCTTAAAGAATGAAAAAAGCAGCATAACTACAGATATGGAAAAATATTTCATAAATGATGGGAGATTACTACATGCAATTTTTATCTATTAATTCAAAAACAAAAACAAGTTTTGAAGAAAATATGAAATAACAAAAGTTACTCAATATGACTGGAAAATCATAGAAGATTAAAAACTCTCTCTTTAAAAATATATCAACCCCCAACAACTTTATTTCCAAGTATTTTTAAATCATCAAAATGTAGTTAATTCCCATGATATAGAAAAGTCTTTCATAAGATAGAAAATACAGAAGACCCCTCAATGTTGGCAAGATCTTGTATTACAAAATGTAAATGGTTAGTAATACAAGAAAATTGTAGTTCAATCCCATTGGTAAAAAAAGATACAAAAATATAAATAAAGTCAAAAAATCCAGTCCTGCTGTGAATTAGAATAATAAGGAGAGTTTTCGCAGAATGCCAATAATCTTCATCACTATGAATCTCAGAATACCATAAACTGCACTATTTGTGTTTGTCAGGTGGGAAAAAAGTAGTTGAAATGATTTAAACAGAGGCTAATGGCTTTACTCAGCTGATATACATAGCACCTGCATTATAGGTACTCTACAGGTGACTCTGAGCCACAACAGGATTGCAGCTTTTCTAGGAGGAGAAGAGGAATATGTGTCCATGTGTTCTGGTCCAGTTTGCAGCTTTCTTCATCTCTGACTGCTACTAAATTTACAGCTGAAAAAGTTAGAAATTGTTCCAAGTTATTCATACCTTTTAATTGAAATGATTGGTTAAATTTTACCCCAACAAAAGATCAGAACAGATCTTTTAAGAGATATTTTTCCAAACCTATAGTTTGTCAATGTTTGGAGAGGGAGGAAATAGCCAAAAAAAGGAGGACAGGGAGGAGTAAGGGGAAGAGGAAAAAAAACGAGGAAAAAAAAAAAAAAGCAGAGGAAGCAAGAATTAAAGCAAGAGAAGCCTGGTCCTGTTTAAAACCTTTTACATACTAAAATGACACGAGCTATCACCTCACACCTGTTAGAATGACTATTACTATAAAATAGAAAGATGAGAAGTGTTGGCAATGATGTGGAGAAATTGTAACTCTTGTGCACTTCTCATGGGAGTATAAAATGATGCTGCCACTATGAAAAACAATATGGAGGTTCCTCAAAAAATTAAAAATGGAGTTACCATATGATCCAGCAATCCCACTTCTGAGTATATAGCAAAAACAAAAAAAAAAATGAAATCAGGATCTCAAAGAGATATCTGCTTTCCCATGTTTATTGTAGCGCTATTCACAATAACCAAGGTATAAAGACAACCTGGGTCCATCAGCGGATAAGTGGATAAATAATATCTGGTATATATATATACACACACACACAATGGAATATTATTCAGACTTCAAAAAGAAGGAAGGAAATTATGCTATATGCATCAGCATGAATAGATCTGGAATATGTTATGCTAACTAAAATAAGCCAGGCACAGAAGAACAAATACCACATAATTCCACTTACATGAAGGGTCTAATATAGACAAACTCATAGAAACAGAGAGTAGAATGCTGGTTGTCAGGGGCTGGGGTAGAGAGGAAGAGACAGTTGCTGTTCAATGGGTGTAATGTTTCAGTTATGCAAGGTGAATAAGTTCTAGAGATCCCCTGTACAACACTGTACCTACAGTTAACAATACTGTGTTGTGCAAATAAAAATTTGTTAAGAGGGTCTAGATCTCAAGTTAAGTGTCTTCAACAAAATAAAGAAAATAAAAGTATTGTTAACATGATTAAAAAGTTAAAGAAGGCCTAATAAAATAAAATAGACTTTAAAGTACAATATAAAGATCATCTAGACAAATGCTGAAAACACATTATATACATATTTAACACCAATTCCTTACCTTATAAAATGCATCAACCAGAAAATTATAGCACTTATCACACATCACACTACATAAACATATATTTGCTGCAATCCCTTTATTGTTTATTTATTTATTTATTTTCATTTATTTATTTATTTTGAGATGGAGTCTCACTCTTTCGCCCGGGCTGGAGTGGAGTGGTGTGATCTCAGCTAACTGTAACCCTCCGCCTCCCAGGTTCAAGTGATTCTCCTGCCTCAGCCTCCCGAGTAGCTAGGACTACAGGTGCATGCCACCACGCCCAGCTAATTTTTGTATTTTTAGTAGAGACGAGGTTTCACCATGTTAGCCAGGATGGTCTCTATCTCTTGACCTCGTGACCCACTCGCCTCCGCCTCCCAAAGAGCTGGGATTACAGGGATGAGCCATCACGCCCGGCCTCTCTTTAAAGACATCAAAAAGATTAGGACATCCACTACAGTGAACATCTTTTATTTGTTTGCCCAGCACTATTCCTTTCGTCTAGAAAATAACTCTTTTCTGTAGGGAATTTCTCCCCACAGCAAGACAAGTATATGGTAGGAGTGAAGGGTGCCACCAATCTCTAGGTCATTGTTTAAGGCTAAAACTCTTAGGTAAGCCAAGAAAATCATTATTCTTTTCTGGATTATTTTCGAACTGAAGCTGAAGAAAGAGATTCAATCCCAAGTGGTAGCAAAAGTTTTGAGATATGAAACATGAAGAGCTCTGTATCTATGATCTCCGTCAGTAGAGGGGAAGTCAGCAGCTGTAGAACGGAGGCCAAAATAGAGGGAAAATTAAAAATTGAGCTATTGAGACAAGTGCTGGCTGAATTTCAGTTACTAATTTAGATTGTTCTTCAGGCCAAGCTACAATGACTCTTCTTTCTGCAACTGTGTGAATCTCATAATAACTTCCACTGTTTAGCTAAGTTTAATATATGCTATTTGCAACCAAGTCTTGACTGAAACGCCATGACTACTTCTCAACATTGTTCTCGAGATCCAAGAAGTGCAGTAAGGGAAAATAATGAACACTAAAAATAAAGATAATATAATTATGTATAGATGGCATTTATATTTTTCTAGAACATATAGAGATTCAAATTATAAATATTGGAGGCTGGGTGCGGTGGCTCATGCCTGTAATCCCAGCACTTTGGGAGGACGAGGCAGGTGGATCACGAGGTCAGGAGATCGAGACCATCCTGGCTAACACGGTGAAACCCCGTCTCTACTAAAAGAAAACAAAAAAAAATTAGCCGGGCGTGGTGGTGGGCACCTGTAGTCCCAGCTACTCGGGAGGCTGAGGCAGGAGAATGGCATGAACCCGGGAGGCAGAGCTTGCAGTGAGCCGAGATCATGCCACTGCACTCCAGCGAGACTCCGTCTCAAAAAAAAAAAAAAAAAAAGAAATATTGGAAAAAATATAAGCAGATGGTAATGTTGCTAAAGGTGGAAATATATAAATCAAAAATAACTTCTCCATTCATTGGCAACAAGAAATTAGAAAGCATAGTAGAAAAATATCTAAATGCATTGGCAACAACAAATTAGAAAACATAGTAGAAAAATATCTAAATGCAGCAAAACCTCACGTTCCTGGATGAGAAGACACACACCAAGACGTTCATTCTTTTTAAATAAATCTTGCAAAGAATACACCTAAACTGTTAGTATTTTTTGCCTTTGGCCAAGAAAACTGAAGAGAAAAGGAAAGAAAAATGAGAAGCAAGATTTTTCATCCTTTAACCAGTATGTTTTATATTATTTTGAATTAATATAATTATGTGTACATGCATAACTTTTGTAGTTTAAGAAAACAATGGTATAAAAATATTTTTAACTCTAATATTGCAAATAATGTAATTTTTACAATATTAAGGGTAAAAGGTGTATGGATGATCTGCCATAAGTTCTTAAAGAATATTAATCTATTTAAATAATATAATTTGCCAATGTGCTTCTCTGCTTCCAAACACTAGAAGCCAACCAAATGTTAAGTTCCTCGAAAGCAAGAATGTTTTTCATCTTTGTAAACCCAGTGTTTACCACAATGCTGATATTTGGTGGTGCTTAATAAGTACTATTACATTTGTTAAGTGAATGAGTGATGAAGGAGGATTCTGTTGTCAGGATTATGTGCTTACACCATAAGGCCATCTGCTTTCATAATTCCAAAAAAAAAAAAAATCACACAACATTCATGGAAAACTTTTCTAAATGAAAACGTAAAGTTTCTGTTTTTTTTTTTTTTTAAATGGAATCTCACTCTATCCCCCAGGCTGAAGTGCAGTGGCACGATCTCAGCTCACTGTAATCTCTGCCTCCCAGGTTCAAGCGAGTCTCTTGCCTCAGCCTCCTGAGTAGCTGGGATTTTGGGTGCTCTCCACCACGCCCGGCTTATTTTTGTATTTTTAGTAGAGACAGAGTTTCACCATGTTGCCCAGGCTGGTCTTGAACTCCTGACCTCAAATGTTCCACCCGCCTTGGCCTCCCAAAGTGGAAAACTTAAAGTTTTTAAAGACTCCCTTTTATCACTTCTCAGATGATCTTTACACACTGATAATGACTGGGAGAAAGACAATTTGGGTACCTGGTAACAATTGTTTTGAGAGGTAAGGTGGTAGGCTAAATGTGGGAGACACAGTCAGTGTACCAAGAATAGTAAGAACACAACCCACTCAACAAATTCCAAAAATATATATGTATTTTTTTAATCGGGTAGATAAATTCATCATTAAAGGAAAACTTTCTTCCCACAGTAAGCAGAATCCCCTTCAATATTCCCAAGAAAAGAATCCAGGCCTAGGGATGACATACTCATCCAGGCCAATTCTAGACTCACTGCATGTCATGGTAGTAAATGCAGTACAAGCTCACATGTACAGGGAATACAAATATTTCATCAGTTTCTTTCTGTTGAATTAAAAATAATCTTAGCTCTTCAGAAATATGCATATTTATAACTTTGTTGAAAGTGTTAAGAACAGACTATTCTTTTCATCTATTTAAATCTGAGCCTCAACTTTCTTAAAAATTTGCAGTAATTATTTCTAGGAAATATATTCTTAAATAATAATACATTAAAAATTTTTATAATTATTATTTCCTCTCCTGATACATTCATTCATTTTATTAAAAGGACGCAATCGTGAAAGAGGACAAAAAAGCCTAATCCCAAGATTTTCTGAGAGCAGGGAGCCTGATCTCTTTGAGATGAACGAGCTGTCCCTAAAATCAACATTGTAAATGACATCTTTCCTTTTCTTCCACTTTCTAGCAGAAGGATTCTAACTCTGAAATGCTAGGTTGTGTCCTGGTGATTCTGTTGCTGGTGATTCTTGCAGATATCAAAAAGGGGCCCTACAGTCAGAGTTGAGCCTATTCAGAAACAATGCTTTGAATTTGTGGAAAATAGAAAGAGACTGCCTACCAAGACCCTATTATTTGCATGATTAAACGGAACATTTTTATAAATACTGATATGTATATTTGTGTGTGTGTGTATATATATATATATATGGCTTTATTATGATCTGTTTTCCTTTTTGCAGTGTTTGTCATCTTAATTATGATTTAGATAAATAAAAAGCAGTGATAATAAATACTAACATTTCTTAAGCACTTGCTGCCATACACTATTTTAAGTACACAACAGGTGATATTTAATTGTCACTACTACCATATACAATAGTTGCAATATTACCTCTATTTTACCGATGAGCAATCTGATTCATTAGCTTGGCCAAATTTCATTGGTCAGGAATGGCAGAACTGCAGTGGACATTCAAGCATGACAAACCCTGGAGTATCTCTTCAAAACTTTCTTTTCTCTTTTTTCTACTACCCTCATAGACCCACCATTATTCGTTCATTCATTTTTGTTTGTCATCGTTTTTTGGAATCTATTTTCCCCACTGTTACTTAAGAGAACCTCGGGCACAGGAAGCCAAATAATACAGGATTTACAATACCAAAAGTGTTGCATTACATTTTACTTTTTGATAGTTAAAAGTTTTCAAGCTTTCTACTGGTGAATGCCATGGAGAAAGCATCTCTAAATCTCTTCTCCTGCTGCCATCATGTCTAAGTCAGAGTCTCCTAAAGAGCCTAAACAGCTGAGGAAACTCTTCATCTGTTTGAAGGTTGCGCTTTAAAACAACCAATGAGTCTGAGAAGCCATTCTGAGCAATGGAGAATGCTTACTGGACTGTACAGCAATAAGTGATCCAAATGCTCGGGAAGCTTTGGGTTTGTCACATATGCCACTGTGGTGGAGGTGGGTGGAAGTGGATGCAGCTTGAATGCAAGGACACACAGGTGGATGAAGGAGTTGTGGAACCAAACAGGGTTGTCTCAAGAGAAGATTCTCAAACACCAGGGGCCTGCTTAACTGTAAAAAAAGATCTTTATTGGTGGCATTAAAGAAGACACTGAAAAATAATGCCTAAGTAATTATTTTGAACAGTATGTAAACATTAAAGTGATTGAAATCATAACTGTCTGAGGCAATGGCAAGAAGAGGGGCTCTGCTTCTGTAACCTCTGATGACCATGCCTACATGGATAAGACTGTCATTTGGAAATACTATCCTTTGAATGGCCACAACTGTGAAGTAAAAAAGTTCTGTCTGAACAAGAAATGGCTGGTGCTTTATCCAGCCAAAGAGGTTAAAGTAGTTCTGGAAGCTTTGGCTGAAGTTGTGGAGGTAATTCCGATGGGGATGACAACTTGAGTCATGGAGGAAGCCACAGTGGTTGAGGAGGTTTTGGTAGCAATCATGGTGGTGGTGGATACAGTGACAGTGGGCATGGCTATAATGGAATTGATAATGATGGGAGCAGTTTGAGACGTGGTTGAAACTACAAGGATTTTGGCAATTACAATAAGCAATCCTTAAATTTTGAAGCCACGAGGGGAGAAAACTTTGGAGGCAGAAGCTCTAGACCCTTTAATGGTGGAAGTCAACACTTTGCCCAACCACAAAACCATAGTGGCTACAATGATGGTTCCAATAGCAGCAGTAGTTATGACAGTGGCAGAAGGTTTTAATTTCTGCCAGGAAACAAAGTTTAGTGGAGAAAAGAGCCAGAGAAGTGACAGGAAAGTTACAGTTTACAACAGATTTGTGAATTCAGCCAAGCCCTGTGGTGGCAGGACATAGCTGCTACAAGACATGCCTTAGACAATACTCATGTGTATGGGCAAAAGACTCAAGAACTAAATTTGTAACTAATTGCATAACAGGTTATTTTAGTTTCTGCTTTGTGGAAAACATACGGCATTCCAACAAAATGTTTAATGTAGATTTTTTTTTGCACCCATGCTGCTGATTGCTAAACATAATAGGCTAATGGTGACACTGAAAAAATGTCTTTTTAAAAAAAAGCTTTCAAAAGCAAATTTTCCTTTAACGTACATACCACCTTAAAGGTTTGGCATCTACCTCCTAATTTTCCTCAGTGCCATTGTCTTAGTTTGTTTTACTATAAAGGAATACCTGAGGGTGGGTAGTCTATAAAAGAAAATAATGTATTTGGCTCATGATCCGGATGTCTGCAAAAGTTCAAGATTGGGCATCTGCACCTGGCAAGGGCCAAAGGCTGCTTCCACTCATGGCAGAAGGTGAAGGGGAGATGGCGTGTGCAGAGATCACATGGTGAGAGAGAAGCAAGGGCAAGAGGGAAGGTGCCTGACTCCTTTTATCAACCAGCTCTTCTGGAAACTAATAGAGTGAGAGTGAGATCTCACTCATGTGACCTCCCCCAGGAAGGGGATTAATCTATTCACGAGGGAGCTGCCTTCATGACCCAAATACCTCCCATTAGTCCCCATTTCTAACATTACAGATCAAATTTCAACATGAGGTTTCAGGGGACAAATATCCAAACTACAGGAGTCATAATTTGGAGAGACCCCCAAATAATGTAGATGACTCTTCTAAGACCTAATGGCTTTAGAGTTTGCTGATTGTCCCAACTGAAAAGGCTTGATTTTCACTTGACTTTTGCAACCACTCCCATGGTCAGCCTGCAACTACTGTTTCACTGCAGCAAACAAAACCCCAATATCCTTTTATTTTCCAGAAAATGACAATTTTTTGTCATTAAAATTTTGCTATCTCTCTTTGCTTGCCAAATAATTCTGATACCACCCTCTTCCCCATTTTCAATGGTTCATAACCCTCCACAATTATACTTTTTTTTTTTTGAGATGGAGTGTTGCTCTGTCACGCAGGCTGGAGTGCAGTGGGGCAATCTCAGCTCACTGCAAGCTCTGCCTCTCGGGTTCATGCCATTCCCCGGCCTCAGCCTCCCAAGTAGCAGCTGGGACTATAGGCGCCCATCATCACGCCCAGCTAATATATTTTATTTTTTATTTTTTATTTTTTTCGTATTTTTAGTAGAGACGGGGTTTCACTGTGTTAGCCAGGAGGACGGTCCCCATCTCCTGACCTCGTGATCCGCCCGCCTCAGCCTCCCAAAGTGCTGGGATTACAGGAATGAGCCACTGCATCTGGCCTACTTTTGTTTTCTTTCAATGTATCCTGGCAAAATAACTGCTCTGGATGCCAAGCACATCTAAATACACACACACACACACACACACACACACACTCACACAACCATATAGATTATTACATTATCCCAACAAAACTTCATATTATACGTTTTCATATGTTCTTTCAAAACAACTTAGTCATCCAATTACATATTCTGAATAAGCTCCCACTCCTAGTTCCTTGAATGGCCATTTCAAATTTTGCCTTTACCCTCATGTTCTCTGTCTCAACATGCTCTCACCTCACAGAAGATTATTTCTCTTCTGATATCACAGAAAAAGTTTGAGTCCATTATGAACCCATTTCTGAACTCCTGCTTCCTCACCAATAGCTGCACCCATACATATCTTGTTTACCCTGGTGCAGAGGAAGCAGTAATCTGATTTTTCATGCCCTGCACCCTGAAATCTATCTTCTCCAGAATGGTGATCCACAGATGACCCCATCATTTCTGTGCATTATTCTCACTTTCTCATGGCCCTTCCACTTTAGGATGCACATAGTCTCTAGTCACTACCATTACATTCAAAATTCCTTCCATGGCTTGTCATGATTTTTTAGCCATTGCCTCATAGCAATTGCTCTCCTTCTATAACCAGGATCTAAAAAAGCAGCTTTCTCTCATTGTCTCTAAAATCCACTAAAATTCTGCAGCTGGCCCACTGCTTAACAACCTTCAAGTGAGTAAATCTGATGCCTCCTTCTCCTCGGCCATACCCAATGTCCTTGAAATAGATTAGATGCCTTACCCTGAACTTACATAATGTTCTGAGCTTATCTGTATCATGGCATTTGATATGTCTTATTATTATCTTTTTATTTATCTCACTCACTTTACTCCTTGCACCCAAAACACCATCAATTTCTGCTGATATTTGCTTCTTAATATTACTGCTGTGCATTGTCTCATTTTCATCCTAGCCCAATTCAGGCCTTTGGAATTACTTGCAAAAGGTTAAGATAGGGCATCTACACCTGGCAAGGGCCACAGGCTGCTTCCACTCATGGCAGAAGGCGAGAGTACTGTCCTTACTACCTGAGTGATAAAATCATTTGTACACCAAGCACACAATTTACCCATGTAACAAACCTGCACATGTTCCCCTGAACGTAAAATAAAAGTTGAAAGTGGGGGAAGAAAAACAGTAGAGACTAGAATAGTGATTAACAGGGGCACAGGTTGTAAGTGGGGGACTCAGAGGGTAGGTCAGGGAGATACTGGTCAAAGGACACAAAACTTTAGTGAGGAGGAATAAGAAATCTATTGTACAACATGACTATAGTCAATATGAATAAATTGTATTCTTGAAAATTGTTGAGAGTAGATTGTGTTCTCAGCACCATAAAAAGATAAATATATGAGGTAATGCATATGTTAATTAGCTCAATTTAGCCATTGCTCAATGTATATACATTTCAAAACATCATGCTGTACACCATAAATATATATAATTTTTGTCAATTAAAAATACAAATATAAAAGAAAAAAGACTAAGTTGCAACAATTCAGTTTACTTCATCAAACATATTTCATACTTATTTTTAATATGTTCTAGACACTATGCTAGATGAGATTATTATATAAATAACAAAATCCAGAAAAACTTCCACCATTCATTATTATATAGACAATTTATGAGTAATTGAAGGGATAAATTAAAGACCTCAAATGATTTGTTATGAGCAAATTATGAAAATAAAATTATATACTTTATTGACAAAATTCTTAAAGTGGCAATTTAGAGAAATTTCATAGTTATACTTTACCTCAATTTTAGTATATCATTTTAATAAGTATCTTAATGATATCCTCATGTAAAAGACAAAAACTTATGGCCTGGATGAAGTTCAATTAGACAAATTCATAATCAGTTAAACAAATGAAAAAAAATGCATTAATGAAATTAGCTTCCTGAATAGAAATCTTGTGCTCTTTGCCTCACCCTTTTCTCTCATTCATTCATTCATCTAACAAATACACATGGAAAAACACTATAAGAAACATTTTGCATGTTTCTGAAAATACAGATATAAGAACAGACAAAACTAACATTAAGTTAGGGGTCAGAATGGAGCTAACCCACGATGTAAAAAATTATCTATTGACGGACGGAGCCTTCTCAAGGGCCAGAAATGTTTGGTATCTTGACTTATGTGCTGGTTAGAGGGGTAAAGATATATGCAAAAATTCATCCAGTTGTACACTTAAGATTTCGCACTTAAATATAGGAATAATATACTAAACTTCAAACAATAGCACAAATAATGAGCCATTCTTGTTATTGCCTTCCGTAATAACCCTTATGCCTATATAGTATAAATCCAAAATTTCTTTGCGTGGGCTCAAAATGATTCATGATTTGTCCCCAGCTTACTTTTCCAGCCTCATTTCCTCCCAACTTGATTCTCACACTTTATATTCCTCCCACGGTAAACTTGTCACACACAGTTCCTTAGTGCATGAGTGAGAAGAGGCCTGTCTCTGGAATATTGGATTTAGTGTAGTGAGCCTTAAAGTGCTCACACTTGTAATCTCAGCACTTTGGGAGGCCAAGATAGGCAGATCAACTGAGGTCAGGAATTCAAGACCATCCTGGCCAACATGGTGAAACCCTGCTCTCCTAAAAATACGAAAATTAACTGGGTGTGGTGGCACATGCCTGTAGTCCCAGCTACTCAGGAGGCTGAGGCAGGAGAATCACTTGAACCCAGGAGGCGCAGGCTGCAGTGAGCTGAGATAGTGCCACCGCACTCCAGCCTGGGAAACAGAGCAAGACTCCATCTCAAAAAAAAAGTTATATATATGATAAAATGAAACACGTCTAGTGGAGAGTTGGTATGAAGACTCTTCAGAGGATGCTATGGAATCTAGAAACTATATCACATGAGCATTAAGATACGGAAGAAGGCTAATTCTGTAGGTAATAGAAATCAGTTAGGAATAAAAGGCGACTTTATTAAAATATAACTATAATTTTCAAAAGAGATGCATCCTTTGATGCTACAGAAGTAAAAAAAAATAGGATTAAATTATGAACATGACTATGTTTAAGTATCCATAAATGACATATAATGAACTTTCTCAGAGCAGCACTAGACATCTGGCCAAACTAAACTGGTATAAAACCAGTATAGAATGGAGCATAAGCTTCTAGAATGCTAAACACCAATGTAAAAAGTAGTTGGGGTGAGGGTCTGGCTTTAGAGGGAAAATGAAATAAAAGCCAGTTATAGTAAAATGAGGTGAAGATCACTACCAAAATAAACTATGAGAACAAGGACTAATAATCAGAAATGGTCTGTGTGTGAGTCTATATACTTTATTATACTCCAAAGCTAAGAAGGCAATAAATGTTGTACTCAAAAAGGGAAGGGTGGCGGGTGGACAAGGACACAGGATGTAGGCCCCAGAGCAAGGAGGATTGGAAAAGGGACAGGGAGACATCACAGGAAAGGCGATACAAAACTGGCTGTTCAGGCACCAGGGAGCAAATTGTCAGGCTCTCAGCCTCCTTTGATGAGCCAAGATAGTGTGACAGCACAAGACAGGGAATGCACCATCACCCAGAATTTTCAGACCTTTCAGAGCCCGAAGAGAATGATTCTCTTAAAAAAAAAAAAGATCCCTGAAATAAAAACAAGAATGCTCTGAAAAGGAGTATTAATGCTTTTTTTCCTTATTTGAAAATTTAAGAAAATCAACACCAGCATGGTGTTGCCTGAGCACCAGGGCACAGCAAGCACATGACAAAGGAATTAGTTTGTGGTAAATGGTATGACCATCTTCCCTCCAAGAAAAGAACTAGATCAAGTTTTAAAGGCCAATTCCTTCAGATCTTCATTTTATTTGTACTCCAAATGAGGACATATATACAATGTTATAGCAGTTATAATATCCCTACATGATATATTATTTCTTAGATTTCTTTTTTATTTTTAATTTTTTGGATACATAATAAAAGTACATATTTATGGAGTACATGTGATATTGTGATACTGGCATACAATATAGATTTGATTCCTTTTTAAATTCATAAGCTTAGACATAGAAGGGGTACCATAAGATTTCTCCTCAAATAAGATATTATTGTATAACACACTTGATGTAATAAATACCCTGAATTGTAAAGAGCTATTATTCTGATGACTTCCATTCTAGATGCCACAAATTTTGGGTGAAAAAAAAAAAGGTTCTGTATTTTGGGCTGAGAACCTGAGATTATTTAAAAATGATTTCTACATGGTATGGTAGGAATTTTTTTAAAGGATGAAAAACTGTGGCAAGGGAAATTGTGTCACTGTTAGAACAACCATTTAAATATAAGAAGGAAACTCCCAATTTTGCAAACTCTAATTTTCAACTGCACGTGCAGGGAATAGGGAGTTATTCTGCACAAACAGAATTTTGACAGGACAGAACCGATAGAAGAATAAAATCATCGTTGGCACTAGTGCTGACTGCTGAAATGACTAAAATGAGGCTCCACAACTGCAGGGACCACCTTCACTGCGTGACATTTTAATGAAAGAATCACAGCTGGATGGGACCCAAGGTCATTGAGGCCAGGCCTCGACCCAGTTTAAGAATGTCTTACCCTGCATCCCTGACAGATGGCCCGACCAGCTCCAGCCAGAGTTCGGCACCTTAGAAAATAGACCTGTTCCCTTTTATACTTTTCTAGAAGTTACAAGGTTTCACTTAACATTGTATCAAAATTGCTATCACTGAATCTTTATCTGTTGGTCCTAATTTTGTCATATAACAGACCTCTAAAGAATCTACTCGTTCAGCAGGACAACTCTTAACATATTTTGTAACATCTAATATGTTAAACCTTCCCTTCTTTGAGCTAAACAGTCTGAATTTTTAAAATTATTTCATGTTTGGAATATTTCCCAGAATCTTCACAATCTTTATCTTCCTTTGCTAGACAATTTTACCTTATAAACCTGTCTTACTGTGCAGCATCCATAGCTAGTTACAGTAGTCAAAAGTAGTTGGACCAGTAAAACATGTAATGAAATCATTAATTTCTGTATTTCAAAGTATATAGCAATATTAACCAGACTAAACACCAAATGGATGGGAGTATTATGTTTTTAGTTTCATATTAACTTATGAAAAAATAAGAAAGAAAAATCTTTAGCACAGAAAATGCTACAAGTACAATTGATTTTTAAAACATGTTAACTGTGTGAGTTTAAATCTCATGCCTTCCAGTCATACTTACAATAAAGTTATAAAATACTTTTACTTAAATTTGAATAACAAATGCACAAAAGCATACAAAGAAAAGTACACAAATTTACTGTAGATTAACAAAACAAATGTGAAAATATCCTGCTTACTGTAGATTAACAAAACAAATGTGAAAATACCCTAGCTTGGAAATGCTAAATATTTAAAATATACTCAATTTCTTAGAACTATTTATTAAATAAATGCATCTATATGATATTCCCTATGGAACTTTTAAGGGAACATAACAAATTGTTTCTAAAGGTCATAGAAAGAACTTGTGGCTAGAAATAAGCTAGGCATTTTAGAAAAAGAAATGAGTGAGATACCATACCACAAAATATTAAGACATTTGATCAAACTACAATAATTTGAAGAGGGGGATCTGTGTCTGGACAACACAGAAATCAGAATCCATAGCCCTGAAGCCGATAATACATTAAAACAAAAAAAATTAAAAGTTTTTCACAACAGGGCCATAGAAAGAGAGAATATTTGTCTAAAAAATTATTTCCCCTTATTCATTTCTCTTGAGATTATAAAATTGGCACAATCTTTCTAGAGAGAATTTTGGTGCTGTTTATTAAATCTTTAAAAATATTCTATGTTTTCACACAGCCAATTCTTATGTAGAAACTCTAAGGAAATAGTAAGTTATTTGGACCAAGAACAGCACAGAATAGGTTCTTTATATGTGATATAAAGAAAAATATTAATTCTAATAATAGTAGAATAAATTAAAAGTTATGTACCATATATTGATAAATGAGCAATAGTTTCTATAAGAAGCAAAGCCTCCAGAGCAAATGCTCCAAATATAAAATAATTTATTTTGCATATACAGCATAAAACAGGTGTTTCTGAATAGTGATCGCTCACCACTAATTTGTGATTCAAGGACCATGCTTCTTCTAACTGTGGCTCTGCCATTCCCAATCTATGGCTTCCAATGAAGACAGTCTTATTTGGCAAAAGGCAAAAGCCCTTGAAGTAGCATATGTATGAAGTGTTATGTGTCAAGCCTTCTGTTCACACTGCATTTGTAGGAACTCATTCGCATTGCCACAGTTTGTTCCTGGGGACACTGAGAATGATGGCTGAGCTCAATGCACTGGATGAAAGAAAACTATGTTTGGTGAACGACTAAGCTATAGCTGCCAAAGTCTCTTCTTGAATCTCCAAATTGTACCTATCTTTCCAAACAGAGAATACATCCACCCACTCCTCCAGGAAAACAACCAGAATGCTCATCTCAAAATTCAGGATCTCTAAGTAAAGGACAGTTCCCTCCATCAGATCTGGAATGAGGTTTCTGTGGGTTCAGTGATCTATGAACTAAAAAAGCCAATTATTTCTTGCTCCACAGACAAGACAACAGCATGGGGCGGGGGGGAGGGGGGGAGGGGAACACTATTTGCAAAAATTAAGAAGAAAAAAAGAGCAGTTACTAATTCACAGCAATTATTAAATATTCCTGAGAAGACATTAGGGGGGCACTCAAGATTATTTTAACTAAAGATTATTTCACTTCACTTATGCAGTGAAAGGTTCTTTTTGGTTTTGTCCCTGTTCATGTTCTTCCATCAAGTGTGTATTAGGTTTCTATTCTTTTGCTTTCTGTTCAGTTCTGTATAATAATTGCCATATCCAAAGTTCTTTTCTAAATGTCTCACTTCTATCTCAATTGTGGCTCCCTTGAGACCATCTGAAAAACATGGCCCCGAAGATCCTATCCTCAAACTTCTCTTTGCTATAGGACTGATTAATTTTCTTCAAGTGAGAAACTACTGGGCCTGTTGTTCAATGATTTTCTCAGTCTTTCTTTACTATTTGGGATGCAGAAGCAATAACTTTCCATCCTGTAAATCTTTTCTATCTAGACTCTCTCTTCTACTGAGCTCTCTCCTTGTACACCAGCCAAAACTCATTTCAATCACAGTATCTTTTAGCCTTCCTTAACTTTGCTTTTCTTGCTCTTAATAAAAAGTCTTAGGTTCATTGTTTAATTAATTTAATTCCATTCTTTGCAATTAACTTAATTCCAATTTCATGATTGCTTACTGCCATGAATTTTCTCCCTGTAGAACTGAATCTTTGTCACATATTTTTGATATGTTGTTTTGAAATTTGCTTTGGCTTTTTGTTTTGAGCCATGGGGAAATCAAAGAGAGAAAATATTTTTTAAATGTTCAAATGGTTGGATACTTTTGTTTCTAATTTTGCTTTGTTTTCTAGTTTTATTATAGTTTAGCCATCTTATTTAATTTTTATTATCTCAATTTTTAAATACATTTATGCTTTTATTTTTGGCCCACTACTAGTTCATGATTTTCGGAAATGTTACAAGAGAACTTGCAAAAAGATGCACTATCTGTTGGATACAAGGCTTAACACCAGTCTTTACATAAAGATGTTTCATTCACAAGGTTTTTTGGGATTAATATTGTAGTTGACATGACTCTGTCTTCAATAATTTTTTCAGGGAGATGCATGGATACTATAATTATAAGCACATTTCAATTTTCTTTACATGTGTGATTTGTGCCTCATTAAAAATTTTGTGGTCAAACCCTTTGCCCTCAATACTCTATAGACACTGCTTTATTTAATTCTGCAATCATTACCAAGAAGTCATCTGACACTGGCATAGAGCACTTGAACTTATTCCTCCTCTCTAGCTGTAATTTAGTATCAACAAATCTCTAGGTCTTGGCCATTTTTCCTAGCTCAAAGCAAGTAAAAATGGCACTTCCCTTCTAAAGCCATCTTTGTCCTGTTGCCCTGTAAGGGGCTGGATATTATATCCAACTTGTTCCCCAATTGTCATGTTTCCAAATAAAGAATAATTGACTAGAGGTCTTCAGGATCTTCTTATTTGGTCTAATGAAATTTGTCATATGCATTGTTTCTGGAGAGACATGCATTAGTTTTCGACATCCTCTTTCACTTAGGTCCAGGTTTTCACTATTTCTAAGACATTATGCAGTATAATAATGTAGTTATTACATAGTTTATTATAGTTTAGTTTTAATTGTTTCTGATCATTTCAGTAACTTCATGCTGAAATTTATATTAAAAGAACTTCTTTCTCTCAGAAGTACATGGTGTACTTTCTGAGACTTTGCCGATGTACAAACATTTTTTGTTGCTTTCAAGCATGAAGGATTACTTAGATGAATACAGTATTTATTTGTTTGTTTTTGAGATGGAGTCTCACTCTGTTGCAGAGGCTGGAGTGCAGTGGCGCGATCTCGGCTCACTGCAACCTCCACCTCCTGGGTTCAAGCAATTTGCTGCCTCAGCCTCCTGAGTAGCTGGGATTACAGGCACCCACCACCATGCCCGGCTAATTTTTATATTTTTAGTAGAGATGGGGTTTCACCATCTTGGCCAGGCTTGTCTTGAACTCCTGACCTCAGGTGATCTACCCGCCTTGGCCTCCCAAAGTGCTAGGATTACAGGTGTGAGCCACCGCACCCGGCCCAAATATTCTTGAATCTTTTGTACTTTGTATTGCTCACTGCTCTTTTATATCTAATTCTGCAGAATCTGAAGTCTGCCTTATTTTTGCATTCTTTGTACATTACCTGCTTTTTTGTGTATACTTGGGTATTTGAAGTTCAAGACTTTCTCCAGGATAATAGAAGGAAATACATCTACTCCAGTCACCGTATTTCTTCATGGTTCCATAAAATAGAAGCATTGACCAGCTCTGCTGCCATCTCAGTGAAGCACTTTGGAAAATAATTTCTGCCATTCTCTGCCCCTTCTCTCTCTGCCTCATTGAAAAGGAAGCTACAAAGACTAATGAGAGCCTGGCATCCTTTGTTTTTTTTTTTTTCCACTAGATAGAAATAATATATGAAAGGTCATTGCCTACTTGTTGTTAGGTCTCTGTTTTAACTCTCTTGAAGGTACTTGCTCTTAAAAATGAAATTTGTTCTCTCTATTTCTATTTTGCCCAGTAACCAACACCAGGGCATATCCTGCCCTTTTAAGGGAAAGTCTGCTATCTCCATCTGTCCATCTATTAACTGTTTGCTTGAATTCATTTTGAGAAGTTGTAAAACACTCAATGTGAGTCTAAGCTGCTTCCTTCAATCAAAAAATAACCTCATGCTGTATTTCAATGCCCAGTTGGCTCTTGCATCTATTTCAATTAGTTAAGAAATTAAGACACTTTGGGAGGCCAAGGCGGGCGGATCACGAGATCAGGAGATCGAGACCACGGTGAAACCCTGTCTCTACTAAAAATACAAAAAATTAGATGGGCGTGGTGGCGGGCACCTGTAGTCCCAGCTACTCAGGAGGCTGAGGCAGGAGAATGGCATGAACCCGGAAGGCGGAGCTTGCAGTGAGCCGAGATCGCACCACTGCACTCCAGCCTGGGCAACAGAGCGAGACTCCATCCCAAAAAAAAAAAAGAAGAAATTAAGAATAGGTGGAGATATGACTAATAGGCTCCTATGAACCCCATACAAAGATAAATATACATTTTTATCTATTTGTATTAGTTTTGTTTTTCTAGTTCCTGATGAACTCTCTTTTGCTCTGAGAGAGAGAGAGAAAGAGACAGGGAGAGAGAGAAGAGAGTATTGGAAAGATGAGTAATTCAAGATGGAAAAATTGCATGTCTTCATCCACTCATTTCTCTTTAGTTTTATTATATGCATTTGTTGTTCAGTTTTGTGAAGTACAATGTCAGATTCCAGACCTAACATCAGCAGCTGTCTTTCTTGATGTAGGAATAGCCTTGTCAACTCTCAGACCAAACTTACGTTGTGAGGGGAGTTCACTGCAGCCAGTCTCTTGACTGTTGCTCTGTAATACGTCTGCCATCTCTTGCAATAGTTCCTGTCACCAAGATGCATGAGGGTACTACTTGCCAACTTGAAAAAACATCTGTCCTGATTTCTGAATACTACTGCTTAGGTGGCTTTGTTCATTACTGTCATTTGTGATATAGCATCAAATTTGTTTTGTTACTGTCACCTGTGATACAGCATCAAACCAGCTATATGTTGCCTTCAAGTGCTTCTCCTTAACCTGGTCTTACACACACTCCTTCTGGCCAAAACTCCTCAAGTTGCTGACAATTTGATGACTTACATGGTTTCAATCATAAATGGAAATTATCTCTTAGTTTATAGTTCAGAGAAGAGAAAGTGGTGATAAATCATACACGTGTCCTCATGGTTTCATCATTCTTCACAGTGCTTTTGAAAGTAGTAGTTACTACTTTCTAGTTACTATCTAGATCTTTGAAACTTTAGAAAGAGAAAACATTAAATAGAAGAAAAGCAAGGTCTTTCATATAGCAAACACTCTTGGTTTTCTCTGCCCATACTCAAATTTGGAGGTGTGATTATAAAGCTACAGGAAGCTAAAATGTGTTTTCCCACCCAACACATAACTGACTCTCTTTGCGTTTCTATGATACATATCTCAGTGGACTAAATCAATCTATATTTCAAATTCTTGGGAAGGAAGGAGGGAAGAGCAAATAGATTGTTTGAATATAAATGAGTATTATATTTGTCCTATTTCCATTTATTAAGAGAACAGAGGTAAGATTACTTACAGGCGTGGTGGCAGGCGCCTGTAATCCCAACTCCTCGGGAGGCTGACGCAGGAGAATTGCTTGAACCCGGGAGGCAGAGGTTGCAGTGAGCTGAGATGATGCCACTCCAGCCTGGGGGACAAGAGCGAGACTTCATCTTAAAAAAAAAAATGATTACTTAGGCCTGGATGATATTCTGACATTTAGAAAGATATTGTAAACATCTATGAGTTTCACTATTTTAAGTTTCACTTATTTTTCATCAAGTTAAGTGTAAGTCAATATTTTACTAATTTAACTAATAATGATCTGCAATAGAACAAAATCTATGTTGCCAGTCACTAATGGTGATTACATAGATTCATTCCAAGAGAGCTCATTGGTTCTCAGAACCAGAGACATGAAAAAATCACTTAATTCAAGATATTATATAAAAAGAATAGGCATTCTATAAATGTTTTGGCGTCTATAAAATGAACAGATGCCAAAACATCTACAGTATCTAAAACAGGCTTTGGTTAATGGTTTGTGTTAATCAGACCTGGATATACATAAAGGGAATGTGAAAGCACAGCAAAATAGGAACAAAAGCTAAACAAATGTCATTCTTTTCAACGACTCACTAATACATGGCTAAGAATGTATTTTCTGTATTTTCAGAATAAAATAAGTTAGCTATAATAAGCTGCTAATTCTGCTAAGGGTTGGAAGTGGTGCTACCATTTGGAAATGCCAAGGTATTTAAATGAATACTACTAAATCTATTACAGCAAATCTCAACCCAAAAGCAATTTGTATTTTGTTGTTGTGCATGTTGATATAAAAGAAAAGAACATAATGAACTGAAGTTTCCCCCCCAAAGGAACCTGACCTCCTTAATGGGGGAAAAAAGAAAAGAAAACTAAAATTTAAAACAGCTGTTTGGCCTAAAAAGAGAAAAAGATTCCCCAGTGACAAATTTACAATCAAGAGGAAATCAGTTCCAAAAAATAAAATGAAGGCAGCCAATCTGATTGTTTCTGAATTTATATAAAATAATTTGAGCATCAAAGGACAGGAAAGAGAAATGTCTACAAAGGACCCCTCTATAGTAACTCTCCAAAACTAATATGGAAAAAAGAAGAAACAAAATGTAGTACTTGAATATATTATCCATTTATGATTTTTTAAACTGCCACAAAAATTTCAATATGCCTAACAAAGCTATATCAGAGATCACTGATGCTAAACTCTAAATCTAACCACACTACAACCTGTACCTTGAATACAGAGACATCAAGAGTGTCCTATGATAGGAAATAACATTTCTAGGACAATAGGTAAATAGCATACATAAAATAAATTTAAAATATAAATCCCATTTCTTTAGCAATTAAATTGAAATAAAAGCATGCAGAAAAATTAGAATCAGAAGTGGTAGTAAAATCTGGATCTGCTTTAATCAAGTCAATCCATCCTAAACCTACAAACTGACTTTCTTTCTTGATTGAAAAAATTCACTATCATAAGTGAAAGGCACAGCTAGTTTCAATTTGCAACTCTTTGCTCTCGCAAAGAACAGCCTAAAATTCTTAACACGTGCCTAGTGCCTGCACTCTGCTTGCAATCTAGATTATTACATAGTTAGGAGTGAATACCAAATGCCTCACAAACTGGAAAAGATTTAAGATAGAATTCAAGATATGAAGATGACTTACAAGTTGCAATCTAATCCCAAGACTTTTGTTTAACAAATTTATTTTATTTTATTCTGCATTAGTATAACATCTCAAAAGATCAGGTTTATGTGTAAATAAATGAGCTCAGTTCAATTTTTTACAATTGGGAAAAGAGGAGAATTAAGTACTAATTATATTGATTAAAATACTGTGGTATCCTGTGAACTCCATTTGCAGTTATCTTTTTGTTTACCCTCAGCCTCACTTCATGTCATTAGGTTTTCCCTTCACCTGCCACAATTTGAAATGGTTATGAATATCGTGCCCCCTTCTTAACCAAAGGGAAGTTTTGCCAAACTATGCTGTCAGAGGAGTTGCTTGAAGGCATACGTAATTCATAGAATGAAATTTATGCTCTCTAGCAAAACATATTCAGAAAATTATTTTACTTAAAAAAGAACTCCAATTTGTTAAGATACAATTTCTTTTAGTTACCCCTTAATGTTGTTAACATTATATCCATTGTTTGGTGCTCCATAAAGATACTCAGAAAAACATACTAAGAAACCCATATATAAAACCTTTTGTATTGCCACAATAAAAATTGGGATGCAGGTAATTAGTGATAAAATAGTGGAAAAAATTCAAAATGCCCATGCTATTCCCAACGGCAATGAATGGTTTCTGTATGAATAATGACATGTACACAAAATGAAAAATAACTTAGTCATTTTTAAGAAAAAGAATGATGATAACTGCATCCCAGTATGATGATAAAACATAATTTCAGATGTTGTGGCTTTCGACCAGAGGAGGCAGGATCCTGAGCAAGGGAACTCTCTGGTGGCCAGAACTGCTGAGCACACATTCTGAAACCAAGACACTAAAGCTCGATGAGTACTCTGAAACACCAGGAAAGGCTAAACAAGTTTCCAAATTGAAAACTCAGAATTTTCTCTATTTGCTTTACCTGAAATTTAAATTATGTATGACAGGATTTTTTTAGTCTTACCAACTAAATTGGGGAGAAGTAGCAAATAAATTTTTGAGACAAATGAAAGTTGCTTTTCTTTCATAACATTGACCATAATGTTTGTTCATGAATGTCTAAAAAAGTGGAAAAGAGGGCTTCCAAGGGGCTGTTACAGGAGGCATATGCAGAAGGGGCTTTGTCTGTATGAGGGTCTCAAGGACAAACTTGACCACAGTCATAAAGAGACAGCCACAAAAGCCGTAAGTTGTATGGATGGTTCTTTCAGCCCATATTCTGTCAGCCACAGTGGATGAGGAATGCCCTTTGAAATTTAACAACCAGCACAGTAAATTCCAACCAGGAGCTTTATTAAATCTTCTTAAAACTTATTCATATTTTTAGATTATTTACCTTTTGAAGATACCAATTCCAGAATGTTTCCACTGGAATTTTTACAGCTGGTATGTTGCATTTATTTAAAGATAATTCACTTATTTTTCTCATGTTTATTAAACAAATATATGCTATATACATACATATACACATGTGACCACAGAACAACAAAATGCACAACAAAATGAGCAACAACCACAGAACAACCACAGAACAACAAAATGAGCAACATTATTGCAACACTGAGTTGATATGATTCCAACTGAAAGGAAAAACACTCAACATTTTAGTTTCTTCCACCCTTATTATCAATAAACACTAAACGTTCCTTATGTATTTTTTAATCCTGAAAATAGCTTGTGAGTCTATCCTTTCCCTTGATTGTTTCCTTGTACATCATCTCAAATTCTGGGTATGCATATTTGGATATAATTATAATACATATTTACAACAGATTCAAAAGGATTTCTTTACCTTTTAAACTAAACTGATTTTATGAGGAATCCATTGTATTGCTCATCCCTGAGGTAAGATAAGTCGATTTTGTAAAGACTTAGGTATTTGTTTTAACTGAGTCAAATAGTTGTTTCTGACAAATTTAAAGCAACCTTGGGCTTAACAGTCAAATATGACATTTGAAACAAGGAAGTTGTAAATCCCTCTCTACTCCACTCAGATCACTGCTGAGCACTGTGCTTTTAGAGAGACATCGATGAATTTGAGGTTTTTTAGAAAAAGGAGGTATAGTTGATAAGGGGATTCAAAATTATGCTCAAGGAGAACTTTGTATGAGTTATGGCAAAGAAGCTGATAGGGCCAACTATTCCATGTTTCTATGAACGAATAATATGCTTATATAATGTATATAAAGAAGTTCCATGATTTCTCAAATTTATAATTCAAAATACCATAAATCAAATTAGAATTCAGAATCTAGCTATATTGCACAAATAAAATGTAAATGATAGCTTCACTCATTTTGGGTAGGAATTATTACTTTTTTCATCCCTCTATATAAAATGGAATTTTGATACTCTTATAGAAAATTGAACGTTTTACAGGGTCTCAGATTTTATATAACCTGTGGGTGCCTAGATTTTGCAAAGCAAAATCTATTATTCTGTAAAAATCTCTAGAATATAAGGATAAGAAAAGAGTTTGATGACATTTGACATGTCCTATATAGTCATGTTCTTTTTTTAAGTTGACACTTTTCAAACAATGCTTTTCAGAACTAAAGTTTCAAAGGAAGTCCTTAAGGGAATCTTTGGATGTGTAAGTGAAAATGAAGGGAATACCCCATCCCTACAGTAAGATTTGATTTGGAAAAATGCATTTCGCCGCATTATACTTATGTGTTTATATACACACGGTGAAAATGCAGTGCATTTTTTAATAATCATTTTTATAAAATATCTCCTTATAATCAATATACATTGTTAGTATGATTTTTACCAAATTTATCTTAGGTCTTTCAGGATACTCACAAGAGGCTATATGGTATGTAAAAAATGACTATATTTTCATTCCATGTTTTGTGTACCACTTGGCATCACTCAGGGAAGAGAGAGGTAACATTTCTCTTGTACTAGTTCTTGGGCAAGAGCAGTTCCAAGAAAATGTGATTAGCTGTAATCTAGCCTCTTGCATTGCACTTGCACTTTTGAGTATCCTCTTGATTGCAAAAGCATAGGAATTGTACTACAAACACTATGATCTTTGCTTATCGAGATATAAAAGTATTTTACAGTAGCACTATTGAAACTTCCATTTTTTAAAATATTAGTTTTCCATGTAGCGTTATTGCATAATTTCATTCATTGTATACACAGATTACCAGGGTCTACCTTATTTGGTGGGTGCAAGAATTTAATACCTAAAGGACATAGACCTTGCTATGAAAATAAGGGAAGTAAAAAAAATCAACAGAAAATTGTAATGCACTATGATAAGTCCCATAATGAAAGGATATGGAAGAGACCTCTAATTCAGATTAAAGGGACAAAAAAAGCTTCACAAAAAGAGGGACATAATTTAATTAATAGTAAAATATACCCCAGGAAGTAGAAGAGCATTCCAGGCAGAAGGAGAATATGGTAGAAAAAACACATGTGGATTTGTATGGTTATAAGAAAGAATAGTACAAGTTAGAGGGAGATGAGAAATAAGACTAATAAGAGATAAAAGATCATGAACTTTACATCAAGCGAGAAGTTTGAATTTTATCATATAGGATAAAATATTTAAATATTTCAAGCAATGAGTATGACCGTGGAGTTGGAATCATGAAAGTTTGAGGGATCTTATACAGAAAAAAAAATGAACAGGGCTTGGATATATATGTATAGTGTGACAGAGAGATGTTAATAAAGACACCTCTTCCTTAATGTTTTTAAACTAAGGTGAATGAGTAGATGCTCTCGGAATTATAACATTCCACTAGAACCACTTAATATGTGCCATTAAAAATATTTTCTTGCCAGGTATGGTGTCTCATACCTGTTATCCTAGACCTTTGGGAGGCCAAGGCAAAAGGATCACTTAAGTTTGGGAGTTTGAGGCCAGCCTGGACAACATATTTAGAACCCATCTCTATGAAAAAAATAAAAATAATAAGCTGGGTGTGGTGGCGCATACCTGTAGTCCTGGCTACTTGGGAAAATGAGGTGGGAGGAGGATTGCTTGAGCTCGGGATGCCGAGGCTGCAGTGAGCTGCGATCACGCTATCGCTCTCCAGCCCAGGCAACAGAGCAACACCCTGTCTCAAAAAAATACAAAAATCCCCTAAAATTTTCCAGGGAGGACTTGTCACTCCAGTAAAATATTTTGTTTCCTTTATGCCACTTAAACAACAGGTACCATGACTTTTCTTAACCAGACTATCTACATCCTTTTCTCAAAAACGCACCCTTCCTCCCTAGCTGGAGCTCATCTCCGTGAAAACACACCTAGCCATCTAAGGAAAGCACATACTGTCATGATGTTAACCAACCTTCAATTTCTAACACAGACCCACCGCTTTCTCCTCATGTTTGTTACCTTTGCTTTGGCTTCAAAAGTCTTCATCAGTTTGCCCTTTTCTTAACTACATTGTTCCATTATAACTCTCAATTATTTCTTCATTTCACTAGTTACCTGAACACTAGATACTTTTCTCACACATGTGGCTGAAATAAGTATAAAACTACTTCTGGCACACCCATTTGATTGGATAATTTTTCATGCTTTCACTTTATTTTTCTTCGAAAGCTTTTATCACCACAACTAATAAAAACAGTGAATACTGCTCAGGGAAATGTTCTAATACCTGCAAAAAAAAAAAATTCTGTAGTCTATGAAGAAATATCTTCTCTTGAGTTTCCACCTAAAATATTCACATACCTGTGCAAATATAAAATCAGCTGTGGGTAACTTTCTGTATTCATTCAATTCCTTACAGTTTGTTTAGTTTCTTCTGTAATGCTTAAATTTACTCCACAGCAAATCCAAACAAAAACAAATATTTCAAAGCAACTTAATAAAACATATGCCAAAACAAAACAAAAAACCCAAAAATATTTCTTTATAAATAAAAAAGACCCGAATGAATTGAGGAAATGTGTATAGATCTGAATTCATTTCTAAGAAGTTTCTCTCACTTATTCCTGAATGCTCACTTGGATTAATAAGATATTTTCCATTTTGCTTTCAATTCATTGGAATCTCTGAGGTGGGAGTTTGGGAGTTACCAGTTGTCCAGGGACAATCTGACTGAGAAGCTAGCATGAGTAGGATTTTGGAGGGGGCCTAGCAAAGGTCAAGGACCCCTGCTGAGTCATAGGCCAGAGAATGACACATCAAGTGACTTGTCCAAGGCAATTTTTGTTGTCTCTAAGCCCTGAAAGAAGACACAATATCATTTCCCATTATACCCACTACCCATTTACCACTGCCCTGACAGGTTTTTCTTTTCATGTCCCAGAACTGACAAAAAGTTTCTCTTTTCTTCTAAAAGAAGAATAGAAAAAGAGGAAGGGACTACTCCATTTAGAGATAAGAAATGTTACATTACAAAAACAAAAAGAACAAAAAGATTACAAAAGGGGATAATAACGGAAGCTTCCAAAGGATCTTCACTTCAATATAGGCCAAGCTGTTCACTGTCTTCCTCTAGCTTGATTGGCAGGGTAAATCTTCCCTGTTGATAAAACGAATTCCCTCAGAACTGACTATCTAAAGTGTGAGTGTAGCAGAAATCTTTCTCTGGTAACATTTGGTAATGTCTATAGAGGAGCTATTTCTATCGTAACTTCTTAAAAGCGAAATATATAAATTACACTCTAACTGAATGCATTCACTGTGCCAGGCAGTTCTTCATGATCATTTGTATGACATATGCTCTGTTGTCCTTGCAAACATTAATTTATTAAGTGTTTATAGATCTATTTCCTGAAAATAAAAGGCCTTGAGGCTTCTCAAAAACCACAGGGCACTTGATACGTTTTCTATAAACTGGTGAGCTATTGCAGGAGCTTGACTGTTGCAGAATTGGAGACAGGCTGTTTTAGAAGTGAAGGACAATGCAGCTGTTTGGAAATATTTGTAGTGGTGTTAGCTCAAATCATATAATATGCAAAATTTGTCTTTAAAATAGAAATGAATGAATGAATGGATGCATGAATGAATGGATGAATGAATGAATGAACACCTTAAGAAATTTTACAGATGACTTATTAGACTACTTTTATGGATGATTAGGGAACAATTAGCAGTTCCAAAACATTTTTAGTGTATGTCTAGCAGAGGTATAGAATTAATTGCTCCTTCATGCTTATACCACTATTTTGATGGGATAGGACTCTCAATTTGAACAGAGACCTCATTAGAAAGTCTCCCAAACCATTACATTGTTATGTGTATAATCCAGGTCTCTATCCTTTAACTTCCTTCTCTGTATTATGTAAATTTTTCTTCCAAATAATTTAAAGCATTGTGTGTTTTCCACCTTTTGTGACTCTTCCTATTACCCATATGGGAGAGGAGTATGATAAAAGAGGAAGATGAGTCACTAAGAAAGGAATTGATGTCCCTGACCTAAACTTTCCCTTCTTCTCATTGCATATAGTCTGCCCTTCAGACTATCTCAACGCTCGCATGGCTCTGATAACCATGTACACTCTGAAAACGCAGAAATCTACATTTACGACTCTACTTTTTCTCCTGAGCTTCAGATTACTATATTAAACTGCATACAACTCATCTATGCCACAGGCATCTCAAAATAAACTGGTTTAAATATCCATTATGTTCTTTCATTAGTCTATTGTCCTGCTCTAATCCCTAAACCAGGAAGTAGGGCCAGATTCTACTCCCACCTGTTGCCCTGTGTACATTATTAACCATGACCACCCCTCTGCCCTCCGTGAAACACACATATCCACTTACCTTCACCTCTGCTATCACTTCCCTAATCCAGACTACCATCATCTTTCACTTAAGCCCAAGTTTTCGCCCAGTTTCCTAGTTATGTACCCTGTTTTCTTCCAATCTATTTGCTACATTGCAACACAACCTTTCTATAACTATGCTTTTCATGGTTTACAGTTCTTCAATAGCATCTCCCTAGCCTTTGAGAAATTTCAAACTCTTTGACCTGGTTTAGCAATGTGTTTACAATCAGAGAGCCCAGCTTGCCTCTTTCATCTGATACCTAACTTCTTCCCTAAATTCAACCCCAACAACATAGACCTTTCTCCAGTTCTTTAGAATTACCACACATTCTCTAAGTCTATACTTTCATATTATCCTTGGATGAAACATTCCCCCACTGTTCATGTGACTAATTCCAACTCATACTTCGGATTTCAATTTTGAAGGTTTTCCTGACACAAATCTCATCTGAGCTCCTAACCTAGACGTTCTTATCATCATACAAATAATGCTATATTAGAGTTGGTTTTATTTATCCAAATCTGGCCTGTAAGTTCCAGAAGGATAAGAAATGTGTCTGTCTTTTCAGCACCTAGCAGCTAGAGTTCTTATCACTTAGTAGTTACTCAATATATTTGGGTCAAATAGATGAAATTTTCAGGGCACACAAAGTCCAGACTATAATTTTAGTCCTATTATAATTTTAGGTTAGTTAATTAGGTCAAAGGTAAAATAAGGCAAGTAACAAAATCTATTTTTAAAGATGTAGGGAAACAGATTTTCAAAATGGGTTCATATGACTTTCAGTTGTCCTCTCTGAGTAACTCAGAAAGGCCAGATACCAATTGGTAGAAGGTTCTTCCACATCGGAATTTAGTAAAACCCAACCTATCTATAAAAAGTGACTTTTATCTTTTTATTTTTCGTCATTCCCCATTTTAGTAGGAATATTAAATTAAAATTAAATTTTAAAATCCTTCCTAAAATTTCTTTCTGTTGGTACTGTTATTCTTGCTCAGACTTTTTAACCTAATAAAGATTGATTGACTGAGCCTTCCGCCTCTGAAGATCTGGGATCTGTTTACTGGCAGTTTACTGAACCAGAGCCTGAGTTATCCTTACCCACTTGACATAAGTAGCCGTAGCTGTGTGATTTCAAATTGCACTACTGCTGATTTACTAATGGAATTGGATGGGTGGATTAAAGTTTATCAAGAAACTATTGGGTCTGATCTAAGAGCTAAGCACTCTATAATCTTATATCTCATCAAATCCTACCTTTCACTAACATTAAAATTTGGATAAATGCTGTTCAAAGCAACATATGACAGTGAATGACTGAAGTGCTGGTTCTATCGTGACAGAGAACTTTTATTGTATTTTCCTATCTGATTATATCATATTCATTTACACAATATTATTGATAACAAGCTGATTTGCATTTCTTATCTCTTCTCAAATATGGATATATAGATACTGATACAGATACATGGATATGGATACAGATATAGACATAGATACAGATAAAATGGTGGTTTACTTTCAATTCATCAATTTCCCTAAACTATTAATAGTTTACTGGTATGCTTTAATTATATTTACTGGTATACTAAAAGTGTTTATTTAAAGTTATCAATATTTAAAAAACATTTCTCCTTTGAGAATTCATATTTTTAAATTCATCATATTCATAAAATATAAGTAAATGCTTTAGAAAATATTGCAAAACCTCATGTGCAATTCTTGCTTTTGAGGTAACAGTTTCTAAAACTAAAAATGCCTTTTCTTCTTTTAAATGTGGCCTAGGCCTTAAATTTGTAGTAGCAAGGTTGTTTGTTTTTTTTTTTAAGAAATTGTAAGGAAAACCAAGAGTGCCATTTAGCAGGTAATAGATATTTGGCCTAAAGAAGTTTACGGGTTTTACAAATAATTTCTTCCTCCCACACACAAAATTTAACAGTTTTATAGTCCTTTACAACTTCCACCCCATTCATGCACCTTGTCATTATACCAGGAGCCAAATTTTAATGATTTTTGTTGCCTCTAGCACCGTATACATGGTTAGAAATGATGCATCTCAAACTCTGACTATTACCAAACTTTACTGATGGAAAACATGTCCATTGAGTAAGTAATAATGATGAGTGAGATTTCATGCTGTTTTACTGCCAACAGACCATCAGAAACAGAGTTCAGTTCATATAAAAACAGTCTTCAACCAAACAAGTCAGGATGGCTGGCAGCCTTGGTAAACATGTAAATGAACTTGATAACCCTCTCTGTTTAGAGAGTTCATGTAAAATACTCTCCTGCTTGCTTTATTTGGCTTGTTTTAAAATGTCAAGGGGTTTGCAATGAGGCCATTAGCTTCTAAATTCCTAAATTAACTAAATGCGTATCATGGTGACTGACCAGGACCTGAAGCATGACACCCGATGACTCTTGAGGAAACCTGAGAAATGCACAACAGAATCTAAAGTCTTACCAAGAGTTATGTGTATGGCAGCTAAAAGAAAACATTATTGGGTTTCTACAACTACTGAGGAACGCCCTTCAAAAAACATGAAGAATTGTTGTTATGATAATGTATAACAATGTGATAGTAATAACAAATAATATTTATTGAGTACCTAGTATTTGCTAGATCCAAGACTGTCTTCATATGAATTCATATAACCCTTACAACATTCTAATGTAAAGAATTTTTTTTTTTTTTGCATTTCACAGATATGTAACACTGAACATCAGGAAGATTATCTACCCTGCTCAAGGTCACATATAAGCTTTGAATACAGAGCTGGAGTTCAAACCCTGGTATGTTGGATTCCAACTCCTCACTACATAATGTATACCACATAGCACACACAGACATAATTTACATTTTATATATTTTTAAATTTAACCTCTTATTTTAATCATCTGAGTCTTTTCTGAACCTCTGCATTTTATAGTAAATGGGACAAGAAGGGACAAAATTGAGTAATTCATAATTAATAACGGGTGACTGTGCCATGGACACATTTAGTTGTCCCCTTCAAGGCTCAGTTGGTTCTAGACAAAATGAGAGAGCAAAGGTTTGAATTTGAGCCCCTCCAAACTTCATTTTATACACAGATTCCCACCACCTATCTTCCAGAAGGTGCCTATCCTTCAAGATATCTCTCACTGCCACCCGACTGCACAGGGTTGGACAATAGTCCAAACTTGTAATAGACTTTGGGGACTTGGGTTGAAGAGTGGGAGCAGAGTGAGGAATAAAAGACAACAAATATGGTGCAGTGTATACTGCTTTGGTGATGGGTGCACCAGGATCTCACAAATCTCCACCAAAGAACTTGCTCATGTAACCAAATACAACCTGTACCCCAATAACTTCTGGAAAAATAAAATTTTTTTAAAAACTTAATGTCTTCTTTACATAGCTTTCCAACAGCACAGGTTACAAGTCTGCATTGTCTTTGTGTCACTCTGTGACATCTTCACTGGAAATTTTTTCTATCTATCAAAACTCAATTTCTATTTTATCTAGTGAAAGGAATGACTGCTGCCTTAATAAGACTTTTTCAGAGTGTACTAAGGTGCTAATAATTGCAAACCATTTTTGTCAGTGATTTTCCTTGCCAAAAAGCCTGTTTTTTCTCCATTATGTAATGCATTCTCATCTTTCCAAATTTGTCTATCCCTCTGTCTTCTATTAGTTCTTATATTCAATACTTGACAAACTCTGATTCAGCTTTTTCTCTAACATTCAAAGTATTGGCTCCTCGAGCACACATGTGAACACACATGTGAACACACATGCAAACACACACACTCATACACACACACACACATCTCTCTGGATGCCCTCTAGGTAAGCACCATTGATCCATTTATGAGTTTGTTTCCTGGCTTTCAGAACTACTATTGTACTCTACTTTTAGGAGCTAATAACTCAGTAATAGCACATCTGGAGGAAAATCAAACCTAGCACAATAATAAATAATAGTGGAGACAATTGCATGAAGTCTAATGATGGGCTTCAAAAGCAAAATGATGAAAAAATGATTTTTACAGAATGTGGGATTTAAATTAGACTTTGAATATATGCATAAGTTAAGTAGAAAGGATAAAAGAAAACCAGGAGAGAGGAATAAAAATGTTTCAGGTATAGCAAACCCATTCTGTGTGATAGTAAGGAGGAGAACCTAGAGTTCATTTCAGAAACAGTAGAAAATAGTAGAATGTTCATAGGATAGAGTAGAATTATGGAGAGTTTTGAAAGAAAACATCACAGTGTTGGAATGTTATGTGAAGTTGGGAAATAAGCTTTTAATATCTATGTTATTTATATTATCCTGAAAGCAAACCCGAGGTGTCAGGGTAAGGGACTGACTATTAGTACTTACAGCAATAACGGCCTTGGTTTCCGATGCTCATTTGGTTTCCAATGCCATTCAGAGTGTTGGGAGAGAACCAGATAGACTCTGCCTGTGCACAAAGGGGATTTCTTACACCACATGTGAGGATGCCTGAAATATAATTATGGAAGCTCATACAGGCTACATGCTATTCCCTCTTCCCTCCTAAAGAGAAAAGAAACTTTTCCTCCCTAATGTTTTACAGTCCTTCAGAATGTGAACAGATGGCTTCATGACTCCAGGCTTTATCTTGCTTTGAAAAGTGAACATATTTAGAAATAAATCTTCAATTCTCTCCATAGATTGCTCATTATTTATTCAGTCATCTTTTATTTCCTTTTCCCAGGCTTGTCCTTTAACTCAGGTACTAGTTTTCTTTGCTTAGGAGTCCTGAAATGTGCAGAATTATGAAAATATTAACCTGCTGATATTAGGCAGGCCTGAGTTTGAATTACAGATCCATAATTTAGCTGAGTGCTTTTGCACAGTGGTTTTACATCTTTGAAGTTCAGTTTCCTTAATTATAAATTTTTTTTTTAAATTTAAAGGACCTACCCTGAAAGTTAGATTTTTTTTAAGTTTATTAAAAATTTAAAAGTTGTGTGATTTTAACTGGAAAATAACATAAAGAACTAAGAAAATCACCTGGCTCTGTAGTAAGGGTCTAATCCATGCTAGCTGTAATTATTATTTTTTAATAGGATGAAGTATCTAAACTTTCTATAATTAAAATATAATTAGAAATCGTTAGGCTGTAGGGTAAAAATAATGTTTAAGTATAGTTACCTAAGAACCAACTCTCTGAAATGAACCAGTCCTACGTTTGGGTTTGAATCTTGGCTCTGCCATTTACTGACCATGTAAATATGTAATTACTCAGCCTTCTAGGCTTTATTTTCTCATGTATAAAAGGTTGATAATGACACTTCATTGTATTGTCACAAAAATTACATAAGATAGTTCATAAAAAGCGTAAAACTTGGTATGTACTAAGCTCTCAATATATACTAGTTATTTTAGTTATGTTAGCGCTTTAACTTGTTATTGAGATGATAGAGAGTGGGGCTTAGAAGTAAAATTTAGTCAAGAGGATAACCAGTGAACTTTTGCACTGGTGTAGGAGTGAGGGCCTGGACTTCTGTGGAATCAGAGAACCCAGCCTGTCTAGAGTGTGCAGGAACATTCTGAATATGTCTATATGTCTATATATACTTCTGAATACTCTGAATATATATATATATATTCTGAATATGTCTATATATACTTCTACAAAGAGGATCAACCTTTGTAAAGAACGTCTCAACCGTGTTTTCCCAAATGGAAATAGTCTGAGCTTAGCCAGTGTAGAGGCTTGACTATTAGGCCGATTTCACCCTTTCTATTCTATTTCTAAAGTCATGGGAGAGGCGGCAAGGAGGAGAGTAACATGTTTACCTTGAGTAACCTTGACCACAGTAAACAAAGGAAGAACTAGAGGAAGATTTATTTTGTTTTACCCTGTGAAGTGATCATATATTTTGCTGTTTTCTAGACATAAATGAGTCAAGCTCTGTGAGTGTTGAAAAAATATGGATAACCTAAAAGAATTTAATGCATTGAAATCATGTAGAAATAAAACAGAGCACATATAACTTTTTTTAAAGTACAATGAGTGTCATACATTCAACTACTTAATAATAAATGAGTTTCTGAAAGTCCATGAGAGGAAGGGAATCATATTTGAAGGTAATGGAAGTTCAAAGATTACAAAAATTCATCAAAGCTGGGGGAAGGAGATAAGATACAACTTCAAGGGAGTGGCAAAAAGAAAGGGAACATGGTTTGAAATGATCACTTCAATTTATTATCAAATTTATTTTTGAAAGCCACTTCCTCAGTAGAGCATATCTCTTTATCTGTGTTAAGTACAAGCTTTGGTAAACACAGAAACACATAATTGGAGATTTAAAATGGTACTTTTCCACAACTCTCCTGGTAAATCATCTTCTAACAGCTAGAATGTTTATTTTGTCTTAGTGCCTGTTATTTAAAATTAAATTGAAAACAAACTGGACACTACCTTTTCATGGTATTAATAAACTAAGGCAGCAGGAAGTTCTATAACATTATTCCTTTTTAAGGAAGTTAAATAGAACACTCATTTCAACAATCATATCAATCTATATACCATTTGTAAAATTTATTCTTACCTTATCAGCCTCAACTATATATATTTTTTAATGCACACATATATTATGTGTTATTATCTAGTATGGGCTTATTATATATGATTTCCATATACATTTTCCTCTGTCATCGTCTTAATATTCTATTCTATTTTCCCTATTAGTAGTTTTTTTAATCTTATTATGTTACATGTATTTTTGTAAGCCACTTCAATTTGGAGCTAAGAGGACTCCAAATAAATAAGCTAAAAGGACTTAACATCATACAAAAAAAAAAAAAAACATATTGCCTTGTTTTTCAAATACACATACACACACATACACACAATCTTTGTTGCTTTGTGAAATCAGTAATTGTTGTTTTGAGGTCCAAAGTATTAGTTTATAATTACAGTCTGTAATTATATAGACTAGCCATAATGTTCAAAAGAGTTTCAGGGGAAGAAATTACCATGTGCATTTTATATTCCTGTTAGTTTTTAAAAATTGTTTAGACTACACCGTGTTCCACAACAGGATAAGATTTTATTACGTATTAACATAGAATTCATATGTAAATTGTGTCCCTTTGCAGGTAAGTGTGTCTGTCTAGGGAGTCTATATTAGAAAAATAGTTCAGGGTTTTCTCAAATCAATAGTAATAAAGCACTTTAAAAAGGTGTCTTTAAAACTATACTCAGCCAGTATCTATTCATTTAAGATTATTGTGATTTTTAATAAATAACCTCTAAATGTTGTCAAAGTCCACTTAGCAATGTAAACTGGCACATTTTTGCATAACTGAAGTATAGAAACTCTTCTGTGCTGGGCAAAATAATGGCATCCTAATGTTCATATCCTAATCCCCCAAATCTGTTACCTTACATGGGAAATTGATTTTTTCAGATGTGATTAAATTAAAGATTCTGAGATGGGAAGATAATCCTAGATTGTTTAGGTGGGTCTGATGTAATAACGAAAGTCTTTATGAAACCAGAATCAGAAAAGGAGATGTGACAGTGGAGGAAGAGGTCAGAGGAATGCAATTGCTGGTTTTGCAGATGGCAGAGGGCTGTGAACTAAGGAACCTAGGCAGCCTCTAGAAGGTGGAAAAAGCAAAGAACAGATCGTCCCCTAAGTTCTCCTGAAGGAGCGAGGCCCTGCCAACATTTTAACCCAGTGAGACTCCTGAGCTCTAAAATAAACAGCAAGGTAATAAATTTGTATTATTTAAGCCATTCCATTTGTAAAAATTTGTTCCAGCATCAATAGGAAACTAATACACTTGCTGAAATAGTTGGTCTATATTTGACATTTCCATTTTCTTTCCTCCTATTCTCTCTTAACCTCCACTCCAACTAGTCATTCATCCTCACTACCACACTGAAAATGTTCCTATCAATGTCAACAATGACCTCAACATTGCCAAACCTGTGAGTCTATATTCATGGCTCACCTTCTCAACATCTCACCATCTTGCACAATTGATCACACTGTCTTTGAAACATCTTTCTCTGGCTTCCAGAACAAGATTCTTTCTGGGTTTCCCTCCTCTTGCTTCTCAATCTCCTATGCAGGATCCTCTTTCTCTTCCAAAGTCTGAGCATCAGTATGCCTCAGGGCTCAGTCTTCAAATTTCCTATCTATACATTCTTCCCAGGCATTCTCATCAGTGCCAAAAATTTGAATATTTCTGAACCACCACTGGACTGCTAAAAAATTAGAATACTATCTGTGGCATGGTAACTAATAAACTTGGAGCTTTAGATATTTGAAATCTCTTGTTTCTTTTAGGTACCTGAAACCTAACATGTCTATAACCATAGTGTTAATTATTTTTCTATTTCCCCTTTTCTTCCCCATGAGGTGAATCTCAATAAAGGGAACCATCTTTCACTGAGTTACTCAGGTAAACATCTTGTGGCCTGCCTTTTACCTTTCTTCTTGCACATCCCATATAAGAAGATCCCTTTAGCTCTTACTTTTGCAAGGGAGGGTTAATTGCTCATCAAAATTTGTTTTTTTTTTTTTGACTACAGAAACTAGAACAAGGCATCTAAGATCTGTAGAATATTTTCAAGTAGTGTAATATACATATAATTATGATTTCAGAATGAGAAGAACAGAAAAAAATAACAGAACAGAAAAAAAATTGAAGAGATAATATATGAGAACTTTTCAAAACTGATGAAAGATATCAACCCACATGTCCACAAATTTCAATGAAATACAAAAAGTATAAATACAACAAAAGCACACACAACCAAACAAAATCAAAGATTGTAAAAAATGTTAAAAGCAGTAATATGGTTTGGCTGTGTCCTCACCCAAATCTCATCCTGAATTGTACTTCCCATAATCCCCATGTGTCATGGGAAGGACCAGGTGGAGATAATTGAATCATGGGGGTGGTTTCCCCCACCCTGTTTTCATGATAGTAAGTTAGTTCTCACCAGATCTAATGGTTTTATAAGGGGCTTCCTCCTTCACTGGGCATTCATTCTCTCTCCTGCCACTCTGTGAAGTGGTACCTTCTGCCATGATTGTAAGTTTCCTGAGGTTTCCCTAGCCATGTGGAACTGTGAGTCAATTAAACCTCTTTTCTCTATAAATTATCTAGTCTTGGGCATTTCTTCATAGCAGTATAAGAATGGACTAATACAAGCAGATTTAGCCAGCATCACACCATAAATGAAGAAAATACAAATTATGGCTAACTTCTTACTAGAAACAATAGAAGCCAGAGACAATGAAATAACATCCTTAGAGTACTAAAGTTAAAAATAAATTAACCTACGCTCCTATATGCAGAAGAAATATCGTTTTCTATTTATATTTTTTACATTTTTTAATTGACTCAATTGTACATATTTGTGGGGTATGTAGTGATGTTATGATACCTATAATGTATAGTGATCAGATCAGAGTAATTAGCATACTCATGATCTCAAACATTTATCATTTTTTCTTTTGATAAATATCAAAATAGCTTTTGACATTTAGCTCTAGAAATTACAATATGCATCTCTCAGTTATTCCTTTTTACGTATACTCACAGTCCTACCTATAAGCACTCAAGTGAACACAAACAATGTAAGAACTTTAAAAGCACAATTATAATTTTATTCACCCGTCTCTTGCTTTTTGTACTCTTGTTAATCTGTATGGATTTGAGAACCCAAACTGTTAATATTAATGAATAAAAAATACATTTCCACTTTGTTTGTGGCCATCACATGTTTTGGGTTCCACTTGTCACCACAGCTCACTCCAGCCTATATATGAAATACAACCGTCAAAATATAATAATAATTGTGACTGTGACCAAGTCAAAAGATAACAATACAACCATCAAAACATAATAATTCTGACTGTGACCAAGCCTCACCTTCTTCATCTGTATTAGGGCTCCCCAGAGGGTCAGAACTAATAGGATATATGTACATATGAAAGGGAGTTCACTGGTGTAAGTGAACTCCAAGAGTCCAAAGACTGAAGAACCTGGAGTCTGATGTTCAAGGACAGGAAGCACCCAGCATGAAAAAAAGATGAAAGCCAGAAGATTCAGCAAACCAGCTTATCCCACCTTCTTCCGCCTGCATTTCCTAGCCACATCAGCAGCTGATTGGATGGTGCCCACCCACATTGAGGGTGGGCTTTCCTCTCCCAGTCCACTGACTCAAATGTTAATCTCCTCTGGCAACACCCTCACAGACACACCCAGAAACAATAGTTTGCGTCCTTCAATCCAATCAAGTTGACGCCGTCATGCCATCTCTACCACCCTGGCCTAATGTGCTGTCAACTCTTGCCTGAACTTCTATGATAGCCTTCTAAATGATGTCTCTGCTTTGATTCCTTCCATGCCTTTAGTATATTCTGATATTTTAAATTAGTAAATCAGATTGTGTGACATATACTCCCTGCCCATTATCCAAAACCCTCCAGTAACTTTCCATCACAGTTTATTAAAATAGAGACCTGAATCCTCACTGTCAGTGGTTAAATTAAAAACATATAGCAAGTAACTTGATAGTATCAATCATCCCACCTGCTACTGATAAATCAATTCTGAGAAAGAGATCAGGGCATCTGCTGAGGCAGGGAGATAATAAAAGGCTCCAGACAGCTGATGTTTACTCAGTGGTGTGGACATGTTTCACTATTTAAATAATAAGTTTGGTTGTACCAGTGCAAGTAGACTGAACTTACCATGGCTTGCTAGGCCTTCTATATTCTTGCCCCAGATTTACTTTTTAAACTAATTATAACACTATTTTTCCTCTCCCAGTGCTTAAGCTATATTGGTCTTCTCAGCAAACATGCAATGAACATGTCACCTCAGGGCCTTTGCACTTGCTGTTTCCTCTACTGGGAAGCGTACATTATACACTTCCTCATTTCATAAATTCTATACTCAGCTGTTACCTCCTCAAAGAGAACCCCCTTGATTACATGTTATAGGCAGGTCTTCTCCGCTCTACCCCCTTACCATGCTTATTTTTATTCATAGCCCTTATCACATCCTGATATTATTTACTGCTCCTGTTTTTGCTTCCTCTCCCACTGAAATATAAAGGCAGAGACTTGGCTTGCCTTACTTGCCAAGGACTCACTAGCACCTAGAGTAGTTCCTGTGTACATCTGATATGAAATCTACCTAGATCTGATATGAACACTAGAAACACTGAGAGGGTGATCTTCTGATTAACATGTTATGAGGGCAATAGACATAATGCCTTGTAAACTCAGGGGAGGGTGATTCCTTGGAGACTAAGTTTTGTGCAAGATATACTGAAATAGTTCAGAGCCACAAAGAATCAGCCACTAAGTTCCAAAACCCAAGGCATTTATGATGAGGTCAACTGTACAAATATAATACATTTCTTAAAAATTTAGCAGCAAACATCTCCTAGGAACACTTCTGAAACAGACGTTTTCAAGTCCTTATTGCAGATAAAGGCATAAAAGTTATTTACAAACAATGAAGAATATGCAATGTACAGGGTTGCAAAATAATAGATTTAGGACAAAATTTCCTAGCATATGTTCAACACAGACATTTTTAGATTTGCCTTTTTAGAATTTCTTACTCTGGTATTAATTTTAGAAAAGAATAAAACTGGGACTCAAAATATAAAGCAGAAGACATTTAAACACAATATGGCATAGCCTTGTAAATTTGCTAAACAATTTCCCCAGCCTGCCTATATATACCCCAACTTTCCTAAGAAAGCATGATTGCAAAACCATGATTTTTTTTAAAAAAAGATCACTGTATGACTCACCTAGCATGAACTAATACTGAAAATTAACAAACGTATTTCCAGTTTAGACACATCTTGTAGAAAACTGCTAAATGATGTAAGATATTAAGCAGGCAGTATTGATTATCATTTAAATTTTCTAGCGTTTCCAGAGGTTTTAGTCATTGTATATCTGCATGCTTAAATCTAATCAGTTTGAGACAATAAACCATTAAGAGTAATAGCAAAGTTGATTCGCTTCAAAGTGTTGGTTTTGGGCTGGGCGCGGTTGCTCATGCCTGTAATCCCAGCACTTTGGGAGGTCGAGGCGGTGGATCACGAGGTCAGGAGATCGAGACAAGCCTGGCCAACATGGTGAAACCCCATCTCTACTAAAAATACAAAAATTAGCTGGGCTCAGTGGCGTGTACCTGTAGTCTCAGCTACTCGGGAGGCTGAGGCAGGAGATAGCTTGAACCCGGGAGAAGAAGGCTGCACGGTGAGCCAAGATCATGCCACTGCACTCCAGCCTATACTACAGAGCCAGACTGTGTCTTAAAAAAAAAAAGTGTTGGTTTTTCCAGTATCACTACTAAATTTATGAATGCCACACTTACTTGAGAAACTGACAGAAAAAAAATGCAATATGAAAAGAGAAATTTGCTAAAATTTATGAGAAAAAAAGCATTTCTTCATTTCACAAACGGGTGTAGTATTAAAAACTGTAGGAGAAAAAGAGAGCAAAGATTATCTGCAAATTAGCTCAAGTCATGGGGCAGAATGGTGTGAGTTTGGGGGTTGGGGAGACAGTGGCCAAGGAAGGCTGTCCACCTATTCCTCATTGTTGAGTAAAAGGTGGAATGGAAGGTCCTTTCAAAACACTACATCCCTTGCCTAAAGAATGCCAGCCAATTTCCCATGCTAATGAGAGACATCACAACTCCCTAGTATTCTGAAAACTATTTCTCAGAGAAACAGGGAGGATGCAGGCCCCAAATTTAATTTTTTAAATACATAAAAATTTGTAACAATGAGAAGTAAAATGACTAGTAAAATAATTTTTTAAATACATAAAAATTTGCAACAATGAGAAGTAAAATTGCTAGAAAGTAAAATCATAAAGAGGCTACTTCTGATTTTGTGTATATGTGTATACTCTTTGTAATCTTCTTATATTTTACTTATTTTATATTAAAATGAATATTATTTCAAACAAGTGCTGTAGCTGAAGATACACAAAACTAAGACAATCTATACTTTTTTTAAGGTGCTTAAATGAATTTTTCCTGTATTGTTTAGTCTTTCTTTCTACCCTAACTTGTTACTTTGGGAAGGTATGTTGGAAACTTGGAAAAACATTATTTCTATTATCGCATGTAAACTTTCCAAATTTTAATTTATCTTCTCTGTAAGACTTCCTTTACTTTTACCCCTACGGCCCCCTGGTTAGTTTAAGTCTTTTGAATCATATTGTTTTACTTAGTGCTACACATTGTGCACATTCCTGGAAATAACTGATGCTTTTGTCTCATAAAATACTGTGTTTTCCCTTATGCAGGTGGCATTGTGCTTGTGCCAGGCATCCCTGTGTGGCCATCTTGCCTATTTAAATGTAAATTATGTATGTATGTATGAGAATAGAACTGCAGGCACTGTTATAACAACTCACATTAAATAATGCCCTGGTGTCTAGAAACCTACTGCAGGAATTTTTCATTGTTCTGGAATTAAAGTAAGCATTAGGGTGGGCAGAATGTCATTAATGGGTGTCATAAACTGGCCATGACATACAAGCAAAGCAGAACAACAGACTGAAGACAAATTCAGGTTGGGATGTTTACAGCTAGAGCTCCAAAGCACAGATGGAAAAATTAGCTGATCCACAGAGGATAGTGGCATCCTTTTATGCCCTTCTTTCTCCAATTTATATCCTACAATGTGTAAGTGAAATAAGTTCCCCTCTGCTTCCATTGAGTCAAAGCTCTATAGAGTTGTATTTTCCTAAAGTTCACCAAACCACTATTGCAATTTACCTGCTCAGTTCTATTGTCTCCCTCCATCCTCCATCACCATCCCTGTAACCTGCTGAAAGTCTGATGCCTTCTGAGCTACATATGGGATCTCCTCATAAATGAATATCCCAGAGGAGGCACCCAAGGCAATGTTACCTTAACTCCTTTTGGTTCTTTTCCTCAAGATCATGAAAAATCACTGCTCACCAGCCTTCCACCTTGACTTACTGTATATCTAGTTGTTCAGGTTGGCTATCAGCACATTTCCAACTGGATAATATTCAAACAAAAGGGATATATGGAAAGCTCATATTTAGTTTATTATTATAATAAAATATAAGAGAGAGTAAGGAGAAAACATGGAGAGATATTAGAGAAATGATAAATATATGTACCATCATATATTATGTGTTGGGAACTGAGTCTCAAATATAATTTGTTATAAATTAATGATAAAATAAATGAAGAACATACAGAAAGCAGTTTCTTTTTTGTTATAAAATGTCTCTTTCTATAGAAATGTAGATTTGTTTGAACCAATTTTGCAGCTTTCATGAACAACTGTGATCTATTGATGTTGATGGTTAGACAGCGGATGCTGCTTTTCTCCTGGGAAAGTGGGGTTACTGAATAACTTTTACATTGTTTGTATTTCTTCTTTTTTTAAAACTTAACATTTTTTTCCATAAGTTATTGGGGTATAGGTGGTATTTGGTTACATGAGTTAAGTTCTTTAGTGGTGATTTGTGAGATTTTGGTGCACCCATCACCTAAGCACTGCACCATATTTGTAGTCTTCTATCCCTCACCCCCCTCCAACTCTTCCCCCAAAGTCCCCAAAGTCCATTGTATCACTCTTATGCCTTTGTGTCCTTAGAGCTTACCTCCCACATATCAATGAGACCACACGATGTTTGGCTTTCCCTTCCTGAGTTACTTCATTTAGAATAGTAGTCTCCAATCTCATCCAGGTCATTGCAAATGCTGTTAATTCATTCCTTTTTAGGGCTGAGTAGTATTCCATCATATATATATATATATATATATATGATGGAATATATATATATATATAATGGAATATATATACATAATGGAATATATATATATAATGGAATATATATATATAATGGAATATATATATATGATGGAATATACATATATAATGGAATATATATATGATGGAATATATATATGATGGAATATATATATGATGGAATATATATAATGGAATATATATATATGATGGAATATATATATGATGGAATATATATATGATGGAATATATATATATGATGGAATATATATATGATGGAATATATATATATGATGGAATATATATATAATGGAATATATATATATGATGGAATATATATATATATGATGGAATATATATATACCACAGTTTGTGTATATATATATATATATACCACAGTTTGTATATATATATATATATACACACACACACTACAGTTTCTTTATCTACCTATTGATAGGCATTTGAGTTGGTTCCATGATTTTGCAATTGTGAATTGTGCTGCTATAAATATGCATGCGCAAGTATCCTTTTCATATAATGACTTTTTTCCTCTGGGTAGATACCCAGTAATGGGATTGCTGTATCAAATGGTATTTCTACTTTTAGTTCTTTAAGGTATCTCCACACTGTTTTCCATAGTTGCTGTACTAGTTTATATTCCCACCAGCAGTGTAGAAGTATTCCCTATTGACTGCATCCACGCCAACATCTACTGTTTTTTGATTTTTGATTATGGCCATTACTGCAGGAGTAAGGTGGTATTGCATTGTGGTTTTGATTTGCATTTTCCTGATCTTTAGTGATGTTGAGCATTTTTTCATATGTTTCTTGGCCATTTGAATATCTTCATTTGAGAATTGTCTATTCATGGCCTTAGCCCACTTTTTGATGGGATCGTTTGTTTTTGTCGGGATCGTTTGTTTTTGTCTTACTGATTTGTTTGAGTTTGTTGTAGATTCTGGATATTAGTCCTTTGTCAGACGTATAGATTGTGAAGATTTTCTCCCACTCTGTGGGTTGTCTGTTTACTCTGCTGACTGTTCCTTTTGCCATGCAAAAGCTCTTTAGTTTAATTATGTCCCAGCTATTTAACTTTGTTTTTATTGCATTTGTGCCTATTTTTATACCAGTACCATGCTGCTTTGTTCACTGTGGCCTTATAGTATAGTTTGAAATCAGGTTGTGTGATGCCTCCAGATTTGTTCTTTTTGCTTAGGCTTGCTTTGGCTATGTAGGCTCTTTTTTGGTTTCATATGAATTTTAGAATTTTTTTTCTAATTCTGTGAAGAATGATGGTCATATTTTGATGAAAATTGCATTGAATTTGTTGATCACTTTTGGCAGTATGGTTGATTCTACCCATCCATGAGCATGGGATGTGCTTCCATTTGTTCGTGTTGTCTATTATCTCTTTCAATAGTGCTTTGTAGTTTTCCTTGTAGAGATCTTTCGACTCCTTAGTTAGGTATATTCCTAAGTATTTTATTTTATTTGCAACTATTGTATTGATTTGAGTCTGCTTGGTTGCTGTTGGTGTATAGAAGAGCTACTGATTTGTGTACATTAACCTTGAATCTAGAAACTTTGCTGAATTATTTTATCAGTTTTAGGAGCTTTCTGGAGGAGTCTTTAGGGTTTTCAAAGTAAACGATCATATCGTCAGCACACAGTGACAGTTTGACTTCCTCTTTACCAATTTGGATGCCCTTTATTTCTTTCTCTTGTCTGATTGCTCTGGCTAGGAATTCCAGTACTATCTTCAAGAGGAGTGATCAGCATGGGCATCTTTGTCTTGTTCCAGTTCACAGAGGCAATGCTTTCAACTCTTCCCCATTCAGTATTATGTTTGCTGTGGGTTTGTCATAGTTGGCTTTTATTACACTGAAGTATGTCCCTTGTATGCCACTTTTGCTCAGAGTTTTAATCATAAAGCAATGCTGGATTTTGTCAAATGCTTTTTCTGCATCTATTGAGATGATCATGTGATTTTTGTTTTTAATTCTGTTTATGTGGTGTATCACATTTATTGACTTGCATATGTTAAACCATCTCTTTATCCCTGGTATGAAACCCACTTGATCATGGTGGATTATCTTTCTGATATGTTGTTGGATTCAATTAACTAGCATGTTGTTAAGAATTTTAGCATCTATGTTCGTCAAGAATATCGGTCTGTAGTTTTCTTTTTTGGTTATGTCCCTTCCTGGTTTTCGTGCTGACTTCATAAAATGAATTAAGGAGGGTTCCCTCTTTCTCTATCTTGTGGAATAGTGTCAAAAGGATTGGTACCAATTCTTCTTTGAATGTCTGGTAGAATTCTGCTGTGAATTCATCTGGTCCTGGACCTTTTTTGTTGGTAATTTTTAAATTACCATTTCTATCTCGCTTCTTGTTATTGGTCTGTTCAGGGTACCTAATTCCTGATTTAAGCTAGGAGGGTTGTCTTTTTCCAGGAATTTATCCATCTCTTCTAGGTTTTCTAGTTTATGTGCATGAAGGTGTTCAAAGTAGCCCTGAATGATCTTTCATATTTCAGTGGTATCAGTTGTAATATCTTCTTTTTGTTTCTTAGTGATGTTATTTGGATTTTCTCTCTTCTTTTTTTGGTTAATCTTGCCAATGGTCTATCAATTTTATTTATCTTTCCAAGAACAAGCTTTTTGTCTCATTTATCTTTTGTATTATTTCAATTTCATTTATTTCTGCTCTGATCTTTGTTATTTCCTTTCTTCTGCTGAGTTTGGGTTTGGTTTGTCCTTGTTTCTCTAGTTCCTTGAAGTATGACCTTAGAATGTCAGTTTGTGCTCTGTCAGTCTTTTTGATGTAGGCATTTAGGGCTATGAACTTTCCTCTTAGCACTGCCTTTGCTGTATCCCAGAGGTTTTGGTAGGTTGTGTCATTATTGTCATTCAGTTCGAAGAATTTTTTAGTTTCCATCTTGATTTCATTTTTGACCCAGTGCTCATTCAGGAGCAGGTTATTTAATTTCCATGGTTTTGAAGGTTCCTTTTGGAATTGATTTCCAGTTTTTTTCACCTGTGGTCTGAGAGAGTGCTTGATACAATTTCAATTTTCTTAAATTTATTGAGGCTCATTTTATGGCCTATCATATGGTCTATGTTGGAGAAAGTTCCATGTGCTGTTGAATAGAATGTGTATTTTGAGTTGTTGGATGAAACGTTTTGTATATATCTGTTAAGTCCGTTTGTTCCAATATATAGTTTAATCCATTGTTTCTTTGTTGACTTTCTTTCTTGATGACCTGTCTAGTGCAGTAAGTGGAGTATTGAAGTCCCCCACTATTATTGTGTTACTCTTTCTCATTTCTTAGGTCTGTTAGTAATTGTTTTATAAATTTGGGGTCTCCAGTAGTGGGTGCATATATGTTCAGGATTGTGATGTTTTCCTGTCGGACAAGGCCTTTTATCATTATATAATGTCCCTCTTCATCTCTTTTAACTGCTGTTGCTTTAAAGTTTGTTTTGTCTCATGTAAGAATAGCTACCCCTGCTTGCTTTTAGTGTCCTTTTTCATGAAATGCCTTTTTCTACCCTTTTAAGTTTATGTGAGTCCTTATGTGTTAGGTGAGTCTCCTGAAGGCAGCAGATAGTTAGTTGGTGAGTCCTTATCCATTCTGCAGTTCTGTATCTTTTAAAGGCATCATTTAGGCCATTTACATTCAGTGTTAGTATTGAAATGTGAGGTGCCGTTGCATTCATCATGCTATTTGTTACCTGTGTACTTTCATTTTTTTGTTTTTTGTTTTTGCTTTTTAACTTGTATTTCTGTCTCATAGGTTCTGTGTGATTTATGCTTTAAAGAGGTTCTTTTTTGATGTGTTTCCAGGATTTGTTTCAAGATTTAAAGCTCCTTTTAGCAGTTTTTTTTAGTGCTGACTACGTAGTGGCAAACTCTCTCAGTATTTGTTTGTCTGAAAAAGGCTGTATCTTTCCTTCATGTGCGATGCTTAGTTTCACTTGATACAAAATTCTTGGCTGATAATTGTTTTGTTTGAGGAGACTGAAGATAGGGCCTCAATCCCTTCTAGCTTGTATGATTTCTGCTGAGAAATCTGCTGTTAATCTGATAGGTTTTCCTTTATAGGTTACCTGGTGCTTCTGTCTCACAGCTCTTAAGATTTTTTCCTTCGTCTTAACTTTAGATAACATGAAAATGTGCCTAGGCAATGATGTTTTTGCAATGAATTCCCCAGGAGTTCTTTGTGCTTCTTTGATTTGGATGTCTAGGTCTTTAGCAAGGCTGGGGAAGTTTTCCTCCATTTTTCTTCCAAATATGTTTGCCAAACTTTTAGATGTATTTTCTTCCTCTTTCTGCCGCTTATTCTTAGGTTTGGTTATTTAACATAATCTCAGACTACTTGGAGGCTTTGTTCATATATTTTTACTCTTTCTTGTCTTTGTTGGATTGGGTTAATTCAAAGACCTTGTCTTTGAGCTCTGAATTTCTTTTTTCTACTCATCCAATTCTATTGCTGAGACTTTCCAGAGCATTTTGCATTTCTATAAGTGTGTCCAATGTTTCCTGAATTTTTGATTGTTTTTCCTTTAAGCTATCTATTTTCTTGAATATTCCTCCCTTCACTTACTGTATTGTTTTTTGGATTTCCTTGCATTGAGATTCACCTTTCTCTGATGCCTCCCTGATTAGCTTAATAACAACCTCCTGAATTCTTTTTCAGGTAAATCAGAGATTTCTTCTTGGTTTGGATCTATTGCTAGTGAACTAGGGTGATTTTTTGGGGGGTGTTGAAGAGCTTTGTTTTGTCATATTACCAGGGTTGGTTTTCTGGTTCTTTCTCATTTGGGTAGGCTCTGTCAGAGGGAAGGTCTAGTGCTGAAGTCTGTTGTTCAGATTCTTTTGTCCCAAGGGGTGTTCCCTTGATGTAGTAATTTCCCCCTTTTCCTACGGATGTGGCTTCCTGTGAGCGGAACTGCAGTGATTGTTATCTCTCTTCTGGGTCTAGCCACCCAACAAGTATGCCCAGCTCTGGACTGGTACTGGGGATTGTCTGCACAGAGTCCTGGGATGTAGACTGTCTATGGGTCTCTCAGCCGCGGACACCAGCGCCTGTTCCGGTGGAGGTGGAGGGGGGTGCAATGGACTCCATGAGGGTGCTTAGCTTTGGCGGTTTAATGCTCTATTTTTGTGCTGGTTGGCCTTCTGCCAGGAGGTGGTGCCTTTCAGAGAGCATCAGCTGCAGTAGTATGGAGAGGGACTGGTGGTGGGTGGGGCCCTAGAACTCCCAAGATTATATGCCCTTTGACTTCTGTTACCAGGGTGGGTAGGGAAGGACCATCTGGTTGGGGGCAGGGGTAGGCGTATCTGAGCTCAGACTCTCCTTGGGCGTGTCTTGCTGCTGCTGCTGCTGCTGTGGGGGATGGGGTGGGATTCCCAGGTCACTGGATTTGTGTACCCAGGAGGATTATAGCTGCCTCTGCTGAGTCATGTAGGTTGTCAGGGAAATGTGGGAAAACCAGCAGTCACAGGCCTTACCCAGTTTCCATGCAAACCAAAGGCCAGTCTCATTCCCACCGTGGCCCCCTCAACAGCCCTGAGTCTGTTTCCTGGAGGTAGGCAAGCCAGGCTTGAAAACTTGCCCCCAGCTACCTGCCTTCCAGCTGTGAAAGAAAAGGGTTTGGTTCTTCCCCACACTGTGGAGTCTGCACACTGGATTTGTGCCCTCCCCAAGTTCTGGGCAGGAGGCTTCTCATCCTATTCAAATTGTTACACAGTTAAGCTAGAGATGTCCTTCTTCCTGTGGAGTTTTACACCCTGCTCCTCTGGCCACCCTCCCAATCAATTCCTCTAGTGCCAGGCAGGAATGGGCTGCTTCGGGACCCAGCGAGCTCCTGGGGCCTTTCTGCTGCTTCTTCTACCCCTGTATTTCACTCGGCTCTCTAAATTGACTCAGCTCCAGGTAAGGTCGCAGCTCCAGGTAAGATCGGAGCTCCAGATAAGGTTGGAAACTTCTCCTGCAAGCAGAACTTCAGTTTCTCCAGTAGGGGATGTACTGGGGGAGGAGGCTCTCCCCTTCCCACTTGTGCAGTTGGGGCACTCACAGTATTTGGGGTGTCTCCCAGGTCCTGCAGTAGCAGTCTGCTTCCTTTAGAGGGTCTGTGGCTCCTCTTAGGATTGCTGGTTGTTCCTGTATTTCTTTCTTTAGTAAATTTTCTGTATTGTTTCTCAAAGATTCCTGGTTTCCCAAATGTGAAGTTTAAAATGGATAGGTATTGTGACTTCTTGGTGTGACAATATTTCCTCCTCTGATAGTTCAATGATCTAGTCCTAGGGTATTGTGGCTCCTTTAGCAAGATAATAATATGTTTGGTAACTGTGAAGTCCAGCTGGGTGAATAAAGAATACTGGCACAAATTATGAGAAATCTGAATCCAAAACCATTTAAACTTCAGTGGCTATGGTGCCACAAAAAAATGATATTAAGATGATGAATTAAAAGTGATATTTTATGTGAAAAACGTTTTTTCTCAGTTGGAAGACTGAAACAAAATGTTTATCCTTGTATGCTATAGTATGAAGCATGGGGTTTGAGAACAACAATTTAATCAATTTGGCTCAATTTCACTAAAATCCTCATATCCTGACCCTAACTATAAATTGACTGCAAATGTTCCCCACACTAGTCTGCACATTAGAATAATGATGATCGTAATGATTCATCTAACTTTTTGGAGCCTTGATAACAATCTTTATCTAGAAAGATTCTGTCAATGTTTAGTTTTCCTTGAACCTTGGAAAATAGACAGTGGTTGTTTTCAAGAGTTTCCCTATTCAAGAAGGTTAAACACCATTTTGTCAAAACCTATCTCTCCCATTCTATAACCTAAAGATAAATGCGTAAGTACTAAGCTATTACATATAATGTATGGATTGTTTTTGTTTTAATGTATATAGCACAGAGAGGGAAAATTCAAAAGCTTTCCACATCATTTATATAAATGACCAATTGTATTAAACCAATTTTGTACATATACTTCAGGCAATCAGGATAGTTACATAGAATTAAAAACAAACCTCTAGGATTCACGTTAATGAAATATAATGAACATCTGCACTTGGGTATTTTGTTTGATAGTCACTATTAATGCACCATCATGTCCAGATGGTTGGCATCCCTAACCATGTAACTTACAACCAGTTCTTGATGATTTACCCTGCTTTATAGCACGATGATATATATGCCCTTGAGTTTCATTCCCTGAAATGTGCCCCCTGTACTTCATATCCCCCACTTCACCTATTTCCATTTCAACATCTAGCACATTTCCCTGAGGCAATATGAAACTTGGCCATGATTCGTTGCTAAAACTAATATGTGGTGGCAGCAAAAAGTCATTAGCTGGTACAAATTTGGCTGGAGATCAGCAGTGTTGGTTATAATCCATACCTTGGTTACAACTTGGATTCTGTTAAGAATTACAAGAGCCCAAAGTCAACTGGAGTGGCTTGTCCCATAAACAAAAATCAGGGAGATTTGATTGGTGCAAAGTACCTTCCCATTCTAACCCTCCACCTATTTAGAAAGTGAATTGTTCAATCTTGTATTGCCCACGGCTACAGGTAGCAGGTCAAATTTAATAAAGCGCCCACTTCCAATTGGTAATGCCCTCTTTATGAAGCAAAATAGTGCCATGGAAAGAACACTAGGCAGGAGGTAATAAAATCTAGGACCACTTCCAGACATTCCAAGCCCACAATCGTTTACTGGGTGCAGACCACATGAAGATATGCTTGTGTAGAAAGGCAGGCTATACTAAGATATCACCTTTGACCTGAAGATGCTTACAACTTATTACTAAAAACTAATGTAGTTTTAGTTAACCTCTCAGTGCCTCAGTTTCCAACTTGAAATGGAACTAATTATATCCGCTCAATATATTTCACATACATATTGTGACATTCATCAAGCTAATAAATGAGGGGGAAAAAAATCTGGTCTAGAGACATTACATCCCACAACAATAAAATCCCAGATGATGCCAACATGTATTTTAGTCCACATATTCTTTTGATCCTCAAATTTCAGAAAAATCACAACTAAAATAGTGAGCCATTGACTGATGCTTACTACATTTTTTTACAAATAACTTCTCAGTCACTTACATTTGTTTGCAATAAATTTATTTTCATAAAAACTCATTAGACAACTATTATGCAAAAGTATAGTAAGGAGAAGTGGGAGGATAATATGAAAGACACAATGAAGAATACTGTAAGGCCAAGCTCACTTTAGAATAGGTAGATTATTTAGGAAATAAATATTATAAAATTAAAAAGGGGGAAATTAGGGGAAATTAGAGAGGAAATAAGTGAAGAAAGGAATTCATTAAAAGTAACTCTTAGGGATTAAAGTACTTTAAGAACTTTATTATAATACCTATTTTTCTCCCTGAAGCATAGAGCATTAAGCCATTATCACTGATGTAAGCCTGTATAAGATTAGCCAAACAGCCTCGTACAGAGGCTAACAGGAAGTGGACAGCAAACAGATTTGGCAGTGGAGAGAGATTTGGGGAGGTGGTATCTGAATGGGAAAAATCTTAGCGGAGTCACTCAATAAAGGAGCTATACCATCAAAGAGCACCATGAGAAAACTGAGACCTGGGCTGTAAAATGCCAGATTTAAAGAGAAATTATGAAGAAATGGATGAGGAAACTTGTCAAGATACCACCTCACAAAATTCCTTCAATGTTTAGCTTGAAAAAAGTAGTTCTGCTCTTTAAAGTCTCCTATGCAGGATTGCAAAACTTTCTATAAGATTTCTTGAGAAAGTGACATTCTTACGTAGCAGTTTATTTTGCACAAAGACATACTCATTTGTTTATTTAGTCATTGATTTGGCACCTTTTATTGAGTGCCTAAGACAAAGGGCTTTTGTCATGTTCTAAAGATAAAACAATAAGTAAATAGTGAGTGAGTTCTCACGAGATCCGGTGGTTTTATAAGGGACGATTCCCCTCCTTTGCTCTGCACTTCTCTTTGCTGCTGCCATGTGAAGAAGGATGTGTTTGCTTCCCCTTTTTCCATGATTTTAAGTTTCTTGAGGCCTCACTAGCCCTGTGAAACTGTAAGCCAATTAAACTTCTTTCCTTTATAAATTACCCAGTCTCGAGTATGTGTTTATTAGCAGCATGAGAATGGACTAACACAGTCATAAAACTTAGTCTTGGGCCAAAGCCAGAGTATTCAAAATATTGGCTAATGAGTTTGAACATGACAGCCCTTGGAGATGAGCTTAAAGCCAGAAGATGAAGCATGTAATAATAAACCGAGATGCCAAAATTGGAAGTGGGGCAAACACAAATGCAATGAGGAGGTAAAAAGTCAGAGCCTGAGCAGTGCAGGAAAAAGTAATGTCTGTGGGCAATGTAGCTTGGTTCAGAACAAATTTTGCAAACCCAGCTATTTAGCTGCTACATTCATTTTGCCTGTGGTTAGGTGAGTTCCAGCTAGGTCCAGACAGGACATTCACAAGGGCATGCATGGATATAGGATGGATGATTCTCTCTAGCAATCTCTGGAGATTAGCTAGAGAATAGCTAACAGCCCTGGAGCAAGAACAATGAAATCAGATAGATGGAATAACTCAAGGTTCGATATCAGCTGGAAAAGAATGTTGGAAAATCAACTAACACAATGATTCAGGCAGATAGAAAAAGTATTATTGGTAGAAGTCCACTGATAAACCAGAGAATGGGGGACTGGATAGCTTATGGAAGAGCTAAGTGGAAGAGAAGGAGTGGAAAAGATGGTTGTATCTACTGAAAAGGCAACCTCATATCTAAATATAGTTTTTCAAATCAATTCTGGAAATGGCTGATTGACATGTGACCCACAATTGAAGGCTCCGTTATATGAGTAGTTAAAATGATGAAAAGGATGGAGAAAGAGAGAATATGATGCTAGTTCTTATGTTTTCCAGTTCATTAAAAAGGAAAAGAATGTCAGGCTATGAGGAAGATGAAATTATGTGTATTTTCAATGAGTATCAGGAAGAGTAGATATAAAGCAGACAGTGAAAGAGTTTCATAAATAAAATAGAGACTTTTCCCATTTAGGTGCTTTTACATGAATGGCTGCCTTTTGTCATCAGCCCTTTAGGTACTACAAACCTGAGAAAACAAATCAGAAATTAACTTGTTTTCGTAGTATTGCACTGTTTGCAATACACTTTGCTTTTTACTGTGTCGCTTTCTCAGGGCAACCCTGTGAGAGAAAAATAATGACACGTCTCCCATTCGCATTTTACAGAAGCAGAAACTAGCACTAAGCAGATCCCTCGAGCAGATGTATTTCTGCCTCTAAAGCCTGAGCTTCTTTCCATATGCCACGCAGTGTGAATAAGACAAGCTTCACATCTCATCTCAAGACTGGGAAAAACAGAGTCTCTGCAAGGCAGAAATATCAGCTGCTAAAGTCAGACCTATTATGAATAAGTGGTTAGAATAATGCTTTGGTTTCTTGGTGTCCTACATGAAGAAACCTATGCTCTTGGATAGGTTATGAAACCATATTGCTATTATGAGAAATGTTGTCTTTTATCACTCAGTAATTTGTATAAGCATAAATCTATATACTTGGCAGAATTCATAATGACTCCATATACCCACAACTAAGGCTCAAGCGCTATTTATTACTTGTGAGAGATTCCTTGCTGGTTTTCTATTACATTATTTAAAATATTGATCTCAAATTATTACCCATATGATCATGAATCAAGTCCTGTGTGCTTACATACTGCAGCTGAAGACACTGATCCAACAGTATCATTATATGGAATTTAAAGTATCACAACTCCCTAAGGAAATTGGCTGAAACCAGTTGGATACACTCTGAAATATTTGTTTAGTTAATTATCGATGGCTCCAAAGTGGGCCACTGTAAAAAGCTTTCTCGGTAAATTGCTTTCAAAGCCTCCAGCAGTTTGTAGGCGTATGCTTCTTTTACACTCCATACAAGGTTCTCTTTGTATATTTGCCTGTGTGTTACATGTATCTTTGCAGTTTTCACTAATGGTTTGTATGCAGCCCTGGTTCATTGTCAGGCTACCCTGACAACTTAAACAGTCTTCCAGTCCTCTCAGATGGGGGTTGAATTTGAACTTAATATCTTTACCATCATCATAATAAATATGCCCATCAGATCACTCTGGATAAGGAAGTTAAACATGTAAGTCTCCAAGTCTTTATTACCCAATATCTTTTGTAAAGCTTCCAGGTCCCAGACTCACAATTATCACATCATATGGTTGCTGCTTCCCTTCTTATCTTATTATCTTCTCTTAATATTCTAGCAATTAAGATCATATCCAGTGTGTCTGGAGGAAGGGTAGCCTGGATGAGACTTCCTAAGATGTTATCTGATACAGGCACTGAAGCTGTGATGAGAAGACTGATGAACACATAGTATTCAGAAAAAAGATACTGTCTTTACTCCAGGGAGAAGAAGAGATTGTATCGATTTTTATTTCATTTTTTATTTTGACATATGCAAGGTGATATGCACTGTGTAAGCTCATTTAAGTTACAAACATGATTCTCAGAATCCACTTTTTAGCATAATTCCAAATTCCTGTGGGCTGCAAGAGATACTTTAGATGACATTTGAAAAGTGGAAGAGAAGCAGCAACAGTCATATCCTTTTATACTGGGAAGGTCAATGCAATTACAATGCAAGACATCGGGTGCCATTGCAAATCAGGCACATTGTTTCTGATGGGCTGGCTCACCTTGTCTAAGTGGAGCAGGGCCAGCTGACAGTCACTCCAGCAACAGCTGGATCTCCTCCTTCAGTTTCTCAAAATCCTAGACCAGTGTGTGCAGCGTCTGCAGCAGCAGCAGGACTTGCTCGTCCAACTCCTCTTGGGTCTCTTCCTTTATCTTCTGTGACTCTTGGGCCAGTGCTGTGGTTAGCTTCACAGGAAAGGGCACCAGTTTCACATCTAGCCAGAAATAGCACTGATGTTGGGAGCTGGAGCTGACAAGAGACCTGCATGTGTTCCAGCTCACTCTTATGTGCTCCAATGTGTCCTGTTCCTTCCCCACTTCACCATCTTTCCTTCCCAATGGCCTGCCTTCCTGACTTCAGTCTCAGTGTCTAATGTAGAAAAAAGCAGGTTTATATAGTTTAACCAACTCCTACAAATGTGTAAGTTGGAATCCCTATAGTAAATCCCCTAGTCATTATCATTCCTAGGAGCTTTGTCTCTCTAATTCAAACTTGTCTAGTAAAATACGTATATTTAGTATATTCAGGGGGATACTATTTAATAAATTTTTTCCAACAACTTATTTCATGTAATCCATTGAAATTTGGAGTGATAAAGGAGGAAATTCTACATTTAATGCTTTAGGTTAATATTTTGTCAACTTCTATGTTTTTCAAATGATTTTATTTTAAATAGTGTTCTATGGGTAAAATGTAAGTAATATTAAATTATTAGAAACTTAAGATTCCCTCCACTAGATTAATCTTAATGCTGCATTCATGGTGAAATTAATTCAGTCATAAGAGAACAATGTTCTTAATTAGGACATGGAAGAGTTTTGTAATCCTAACCATTGGAACCATTTTCTAATTTTGACATCATGAAGAATTAATTCTTCTCACACTTGGGAAATAAGAGAATTCATGAAAATTATTTCAAGACACGGATATTGTCTTCACAGTGAAGACATTTAACTATAGGTATGTGAAACCAGAAAATGAGATAATAAAATTACTTATGAATATAAATGTATTCCCCTAATATGTTTCTCCATACAAGCTATTGATCTAATTTATATCACATCTAATTCTCTTTCACTTTTCTCTACCTCACAGAGAAGAGAACACGCTGGTGTAAATTCATAGAGGGGTACGACCATAATTGCTAGAATACATACAAGTATAAAACGCAGAGCTAAAAGTTTAATGTGCTCCATAGTTCTCTAGTTTTGTTTCTCTAGTTTTGTGTATTACTCATATGTGTTGGGGCAATGATAGCTCCATGCCACTTGGCAATTCAAGTGTAGATGAAGTACAATTGCTGAAGCTGAAGAAGATACAAGGATGAGAAAGACCAAGCTCCTACCTGCAATTCAGTAAAATATGTAAGAAGGATGTCAGCCTGTGCCAAGGCTTCAGAACAGAGAACTTACTCTAAAGAAGGCAATGGGAGGGGTAGGTGGTGTTGCTGTTTTGTGCCTGTAAAAGAACAAAAGAAGCAGAGAAGAAATGATGTTGAAGTGAAGAGTTCACAAGATAGACAAAAGGTTCTACGGTAACATTGCTACCTCTGGAGTCCACAAAAGCAGTGTGCATTTCCCATAAAACCCCTAACTAAAGCTGATGTGTGATCTTTAATAAAGCCCCCGTTTGTGGCAAATATTGTTTGCAAGTGGATTCTACAGGAGAAATTTTGAAAAACTGTTTCCCATTGGATTACATAAAGCCTATGTAACTCGCTGGGTGCAGGGGCTCACACCTGTAATCCCAGCACTTTGGGAGGCCGAGGGGGGGACTGCTTGAGGCCAGTTAGCCAGGAGTGGTGGCACATGCCTGTAATCCCAGCTACTTGGGAGGCTGAGGCACGAGAATTGCTTGAACCTGTGAGGCGGAGGTTGCAGTGAGCTGTGATTGTGCCACTACACTCCAGCCTGGGCAACAGAGTGAGACCGTCTCAAAAGAGAAAAGAAAAGAAAAAAAGGCTATGTAACTCTATTCCAAGTAAGTGTAATTTTTTAAGATAAAGAGGGTTCTATGTAATGTCTGGTTAAAAAATTACATTCATAGATGGGTTAGCATAAATACCGCAGTGATCACAATATGAGACAGACTATATCTTTGTACAAAGATGAAATTATTTCAATAGAGAGATGAAGAAAAAAATTTGCAAAGACCTGGTTATTTATGAGTCTTGAAAGGTGAAGGAGATTTCAAAATGTAAAAATGGAATTACAGATATGGGCAACAGAAGGAGAAAGGTACCAAACTAGGAAAACTCAGGGTCTCTTAAAGGAAGAAATGGAAGCATCTAAAGTATGACACTCACATATGGGGGAAAAATAAGAGCTTGGGAAATAGGTTGTAGTACATTTTGGACTAGAGAGCCCTAAATGCCAAGCAGATTTTTTTTGCCATACTTAATTGGAATAATGACCCCAAGAAGGTGTCTTCATAAAACAGTGCTATGGAGATAACTGTTAATTCAGAAGGTTAATCCAGCAGTAGGTTGTAGGTTGAAACAAGGACAATAAAGCTGAGAGTTGTAGACACCAGTTCAAAAATAATATGGCAGACTCTAAATAATAAGGGCCTAGAAATTCAGCTTAGGAATTAAGTCCAATTATTTTATTACAAAAAAAATGGAGTGGAAAGAGAAATAATAAATGCAGCTGTAGGCACATTTTCATTCATTTTCATGAAATAGATAAGGGCATTTTTTTGAGAAAAATGGACAGATGGTTAGATTATAATTTTAAGAAAGTAGAAAAGGGTAATGCCTCAATTAATTATGGTAGTATTGTCCATCACTCTCAAAATTCCACTAACTGTCCATTCCGTGCCACTTGATACAACTTGTTTCGTCCAAATCATTCTGTTGGAACTGCCCAACTATTGTCCTAAATAGCCTGCTTGGCCACAGTTGATTAGCACAGAACTGAGCACTGGACTCAAGTGTAACCAATGAGAGTGTTCACTAGAATTTCTGAACCTGTGCTGTAAAAGTCAGTCTCTCTCTAGTAACCCAGATTTCAGGATGGAAACCCTAGTGCCAGGTCTTACTGTCCTTCCATTGTGTTTCCCATGTGCTCCTTCCCATATGGAACACAGAGCAGACGTGATCTGCACAGAAAAAACTAAAGTTTGAAATAGATTCCTAATGAAAATAATAAATACAAAATGAAGGAAGGTGGAATTTAGTCTCCTGGTTCCAGTTGTTACTGAGGATCAGTCCTCTTCCCATCCTTCGATTCACGAGACATCCCAGAAAAATTTTAATATATTCCCTTTACATATTTTTGCTTAAGCGGATTCAAGTTGCTTTTCTGACATTTGCAATAAAAAGGTTATAATTAATAAAAAACTGTGTGTCTCTGTGGAGAATTAACAACAGTGCTCACTAGGGAGGTACCCAAGCATTCCCCAAAACCATTATGGCATCCAAGTGAGGTTTGGGGAAGTAAATGGTAAAAATGCTCATCTGCCAGGTGTATGAATTTCTGAAAAAGCCTTTAGTAGCGCAGAGATGGATGAAGAGAAGGTAGGCTATTGAACTGATTAAAAATTATGGTTTTAATTGTAAAGAAATACAAACTATGGGCAATAGAATGTGAATGTTTGCAAAACTGACAAAAGTGTGCTTGAAGCTCAGGGTGAAGTGAGTCTTGAAGGCAATCATGTAATCCATTTGCAATATCTGCACTGACCAGAGGAATCGGAGGCACAACATAATTTCTATGTTCCCTTCCTCCTCTTTAGGATCTAAATGTACACTCCATCATTCTTTTCAGAAAATCAGATTAATGTAACTGCCCAAATCAAGATGATGGTAAATGAACTGATATAAAATCACCAAACAAAATGAAAAGATGTTTTGTTTGTTTTTGTTTTAATAGAAAACTAGATGCCCAGGAGACCAAATAAGGTAGTATGTATCACAAGGATAAGAAACAAGAAATAGACACACAGAAGAAATAAAAATTATGATCTTATGGTAGTAAAAATACTAAAATTAGGCTAAAAAAGACTTGTGTACATATCATTGTAAAATAACATGGTGGCTAAACTTCACCATTTTCGAGTTTCCATTCATATACTTGCTGTTCTTGGAGTAAGATTTTGAAGTGGGATATTATCACTGTTGCTGCCCCACTCAAACCCCTCACACTTACTTTAATGCCTGTTCTCTGGATTTCCAACTGGCTACACCTGCATTTTGTTGCGTATGTGTTTTTCTCTGGCTACCAAAGCCACTGAATCCTAGAAATGTCTGAGAATTACCACCCCTTGAGAACATCCCTCAACCAATGACTTAAGGGAGTTTGCTGTGTGAACGTCCCAGCTTGCTCTCCCCACCTTGGGGGTATTTTTGAAGCACAGCCAGATTTCCTCTGCGAGAACAAAATCTAGCTATTCTCAGTAGCAACCTGCTTGCTAATGAATTTGTTATTGGCTGCCTTTCCTTTTCTTCTACACTTTCCCATTCCCTACTGGCATTTTCTGAAATTAACTGTCAAATAAGTAACTTGAACTTGAATATTTTTCTCAGGGTTTGATTCTGAGGAAACACAAACCACCCAAAAGATTTGGAGTATAGTTAGGAGAATAGTGTTACATTATCATTCTGGGACCCCTTTTCTGAGAGTTCAAGATTTAGAGAGTTTTATTTCCTGGGTGAAAAGAAATGGCAGTTCTTTAATTTTGTGTAGTACAGAGGTGTGCAAGAGCTTTGAGATATCAATTAAGGATTATATAAAATTAAACAGAATGTGAAAAGGGCTAAAAGTTGATATTTTATTAAGAAATAATTTTTTAAATCTATAAATACAGGTTTCTGATAATTGAAGTGACACTACCTATATGTTAAATTAAAGGGTACTGTGGTATGTTAAGGCTAAAATATTGTGTAACAGCTACCAACAGTAAAATATTATATCTTTGGATTCTATTATTTGTAACAAGTCAAGACATAGCTGAGAAAATATACTAGAGTAATATAAGTTGCTGTAATAACTGCTACTATCGAAAGGATTATCATAATTAGAATTTAATTTTACTCTTTTAATTTTGCTCTCCAATGCAGATGGTCCAAGTGCAGTTCAACAGGAGAATCTCCCCCACATAATCAGTCAGGAGCCCAGCTTCTAAGCCTTCTACGGTCCTCCCAGGGGTTTTCTCTAATCCGACCATCCAGAAGAGGAAAAAGGCAAAAGGAGTGCCTCATGGAAGGTCCTTATGGGCAAGTCTGGAAGAGGAGCTCATTTTTCTCTCCTTTAATTGATTACAATATGGCTGTACTTAACTACAGGTGGGGCTGGGAAAGATTCCCACTGGGACACTAGACAGGTATTTTTTTCAGCGACACCTCTCCACTTGAAAGAGAGAATACTGATTTTTGGGAAATAAACGGCCATCACTTCCACAACAAATATTTCTGTGCCTTTTGCAAAATGAATATGCCAAGCAAGTTAATAATATTAAGAAATTATAATTGAATGTTAAGTAAATTAAATCATATTCAAGAATTGGAGAAAGATGTATGCACATAGCAATTCATATACTTATTAAGAAATCATTGGCTGGGTGCAGTGGCTCATGCCCGTAATCCCAGCACTTCAGGATGCTGAGGCAGGTGGATCACCTGAGGTCAGTAGTTAGAGACTAACCTGGCCAACATGGTGAAACCCCATCTCTACTAAAAATAAAAAAATTAGCCAGGCTTGGTGGCAGGTGCCTGTAATCCCAGCTACTCAAGAGGCTGAAGCAGGAGAATCGCTTGAACCCAGGAGGCAGAGGTTTCAGTGAGCCAAGATTGTGCCATTGCACTCCAGCCTGGGCAACAAGAGTGAAACTCCATCTAAAAAAAAAAAAAAATTATTATCTATTTATTAAACTTTCTTTGTAACTTCTGCCAAAAACGTATTTAAGAATTCAATTTTCTGTCCAGGTGCGGTGGCTCATGCCTGTAATCCCAGCACTTTGGGAGGCTGAGGCAGGCGAATCACAACATTAGGAGATCGAGACCATCCTGGCTAACATGATGAAATCCCATCTCTACTAAAAATACAAAAAAAAAAAATTAGCTGGGTGTGGTGGCAGGTGCCTGTAGTCCCAGCTACTCGGGAGGCTGAGGCAGGAGAATGCGTGAACCCAGGAGGCGGAGCTTGCAGTGAGCCGAGATTGTGCTACTGCACTCCAGTCTGGGTGACAGAGCGAGACTCTGTCTCAAAAAAAAAAAAAAAGAAAGAAAAAATTCAGTTTTCTGAAATAAGATTGAAATAAAAACTCTTATGCTTCAATCCTTTAAAAAAATCTATAATTAAGATATATCATTTGTTCATATTAATTTTCCCCCATGCCACTTAACTAAACTCAAATACTTTATGTACAATGACATCTGAATAATAACTGTCACCTCACCACTGTCACACATTTTTATATTCTTCACGGGCAATATTAAAACCATTTCACAGATACTTTTTTCTACATAAAACTGTATCTATTTCCTCTGGCTTGAGTAGATACATGCAAGGAGGCAGAGATCACAGAAATTTTAAAGATCAAAATTTAGATTGAAGATAGTACATAGTCATTCTAATGGGCAATGGAAGAAATGGTTTACAAAATCAAGATTTGTGTTATGAAGTTCACTGATCTTTCCAATACAAATTTCCTCTTTATTGATTTAGCAACAATCATTGGCATTAACATAATATCTTTATTACATATATTCACATGCAGTGTGTAAAAACAGAAAACTAAATATAAAATATATGAATATTTCCATGTCTTTAAATAAAATCCAACATCTCTAATTTCAACTACTTTGGATAATATACCAACTTTATAAAGTCAGATTGGTTGCATGTCTAAGTGATGTTAGAACATTATGGTGTACAAATATTTAAAGACAAGAAAACAGGTGCAACACTATATTCCTGACTGACATTTTGAGGTTTTGTAATGGATATGTTGACTAGCAGCAGTCAGGTGATGGTTGTTTTCATGATCACTAACATTGAACGAATATTTAACAGATTATGTTCCAGTTGCTGTGCCAAGTGCTTTATTTAGTATCTCATACCATTATTATTCCCAATTTACAGATGAGGAAGCTGAGACCTAAAGAAATTTAGCATCTTACCACAGGGAGCAGAAGAGCTGAGATACAAACACAGATCTGCCTGACTACAGATTCCACACTTTTGACAGCTACCCTGTGTGACCTTCATCAAAGGAGAATTGCATCAGTTGAAGTTCATCCCTGCATCCTGTTCTGTGATAAGCGCAGGTTTAAAAACAAAGAGCCAAAAATGAAAATGAGCACTGACTAACTAGTATAAGAATAGAGGACAGAAGATACTAAAAGGACAGAAGATAATAAAAGATAATAAAAATAAATACTTTCAAATCAATAATCCCATTTGATTTTAACATGACACCTCTTTGAGAGGGATAACATTTTCCTATTTATGTGAGACAACTGAGACTTAAAAGTGTCCAGCAATATCACACAAGTAAGGGGCAGAGCCAAGACTCACACCCAGGCCTCTTGCATTTATATCAATATTCCTTGTGCTGCACTATGGGAGCCTTCTGGATCACAAGTTCTTCTCATTACATATTTTTGTTTTCTTTCTCAGTACCTAAATTTTACTAGCTCTAACTATTGCAATACCTTAAATATGATTTGTTCATTTCCTTCTGAAGTGAGATAACCAATCAGATTTAGTGTTACTCTCCTAGCAAACAATGAAGATGCTAGTCAAAATTCAAGTTTGTGTCTTGGGAGTGATGACTTTTATCAATATGATTTTTTAAGGTAGAGAGGGGGAATGAGAGTTCGGAGAGGGAGAAAGAAGGTAAATGCAGCCATGGAAGTTCATTTCTCAACTCTGATTTATGATAGAAATTGTCATCCTGTTTTCAAAGAAGGTAATAAAAATATGAAAAATGAAACTTTGGACAGGAAATAGATACAAAGACTGCAAAAACCGTTAACAAGGTGAGGGTTAGGCAACTAGGTCTAACAGTGATTCTACGTACATGGGCTCCTAGAAGAACACGCACTCAAAGTGTGATTGGGATAGACTGCAGGGAGACCAAATAGTGCTGTGGTCTGAGGAACAAGTAGGAATGTTGTGCAGATCGTCCAAGAGTGACAAGAAACATGTGAAGAAAAATATTTGGAATGAGAGAAGAGGGGGAGAAGAATCTGTAACTATGAGGAGAATTTTCAGAAGATGTAGAGCCCCAAGTGACTGAAAATAGTAGAAAAGTAAAAAAGCATCTTTAACTAATTAGAAGAGAGCTTAAAAGCTGAGAGTAAGGGAACTGCTAAGTAAAAACTTAAATAGATTTCATTTTTATAAGATGATGAAAAATCACAACATAGGAAATAATATATAAAAGTGAATGAGACAAAACAGTGGTTTTAGAAAGTTTTGTGGTGATTCTAATTTTCTAATTTGAAATTAGGCATTAAGAACAATTCTATACACAAATATTGTTTAAAAGATATAAAACTATATAATACAACCACGTATTTATCTCCTCAACTACATTGTTTAATATGATAACCAAATGTAAAGCTAATAATGGACTCACTCTACCACAAATTAGAGAAAAATTAGATAACCAGAATGATGCTATAAAAGACTACATTTTTAAGGTTGTATGTAACATTTTCTAGCAATGTACAAACATAAAACTTATAAAAATGTATTTTTGGTCATACTTGCTTTGTTCTTTTTCCAGACAACTGGGCAACAGAAATGTCATTTGATCCATGCTTAGGTTCTTGAGAGAACCAGAAACATAATGGGCTGCAAAACACCTTAAATTGCTGGCATCATGAATGCTTCCTGCCTAATTCTGTTGGACAACAGAGACAAAGTAAGCCCTGTAATTACATCCCAGCCTGATCTATGCTTACAGTCATGTAATTAATACTTCCTCTGTAAAGCAATGGAATAATTTAAAGAGCAGATATTTTTCAACCATGGTCTGAAAAAAAATCCCTGAGAGGGGAATACATGTGCATTTTAGCTACATGCAGACACTTCTGGGATTCCATTTGCTAAGAGAAACTGTAACCAGATTCTCAGAGCTTTCATTGTAGTGAGAGATGAAAATGATACTTCCTTCCTGCTAAAGACTAGAGTGGGTGGCAAAAGAAACGGTGACAGGCGCCTATATTTATTCCATGAGGATTTATGAAAATGGTAAACATAATCTCACTTCCTGGCTACCTGAGCCACTCAAGTATGGTGCCAACCACATTTACAGAGCCTCGGCCAGGAAATCAGTGCAGAAATCTGGCACCGAAGGTTAGACTTTAACTTACGCGATAGAAATAAAACACTGTACTCTAGCAAATGTATACTGACTTCCCAATTCCATTCATAGTTTCTAATGTCTGCTTGTATAGAGGCATTTACTATAGTAAAATGGATCCTACAGAACTCAGAGACACATATCAAATTGTTTTGCAACATAAAAGTAGGGAACAGAGTCACAGTAAGAATAGAAACTAACAATATAGATTGTATTGCCAAGAAGCTACATTTTCAACAATTGTTTCAATTTAAAATACCTCACCATTATTTTCCTTTAAAGAATTTCTATACATGCCTCGTGAAATTCTATATTTTCAGTCTCTCTCCACTCCCAGCCAAATTCTAAGCAAATGTCAACTTTGTCTATTCCTTTCCATTGTTTCTATTTAATATTTAGAATACACAAAGAGTAATTCTAGGATACACACAGGCCCAGTGAGATGGCTGTTCCCTCTTCCTGAAACACTCCCTCCATTTACTTTTCACAACATTAACTACACTACTTGATCCTTGACATATTCAACATGAAGTTACCCTGATCACTCTTCTATTTCTCTACCATTACTCTATTAATATCCCATGCAATACCTAACAGTGTTGAACATTTTGTTTATTGATTTGTCTGCATTTGATATATGAAGGTTGCCATAAAATTGTGAAAATAAAGTGACAGTGAAAGAGCTAAGAGATTATCATATAGTTGTCTTAGTCTGCTTGAACTAATAATTTTTTTGTTTTCTCACAGGTCTGGAGGCTGCAAAGTCCAAGGCCTAGGTGCTGACCAATTCAATTTTGGGTGAGGGCTCTCTGCCTGGCTTGCACACTGCCTGCTCTCTTCTCACTATGTCCTCACATGGCAGCTTTCTCTTTACTTCTTATGAAACCACTAATCCCATCCTGAAGGTCTTATTCTCATGACCTAATATAACCTTATTACCTCCCCTAGACCCCCATCATCAAATAGCATCATATTGGGGGTTAGGGCTTCAACATATGAATTTTGGGGGGACAGAAACATTCAGTTGATAACACCAGTATTCCAAATTTCATTCCCTTCAACACAGTAGAAACAACAGCAAAAATAAAATTGCTTGATTATTTGATTGAATTACTTTATGACTTTCATAGAGGGAATCTATTTTGTTCTAGCATAAGGATACAGTTCTCAACTACTAGTAAATAACATTCATTTCCAGAAAAACTTGACTTATGCATCTTCACTCTAGTGACTTCACTGGTTCCATTTTATATTCATAAACTCAGTTGGTTTGCTTATAAATTATGGAAACACTTAATTTCAATCTCAGAATGATGCCAACAAAAACATGAACTGTTTAAGATAATATATGATTCTGCATGAATATTTAAAGGCAATAAGCCAGATTTATATTCCGTGAAACACAAAATAAAAATCTTAACAAAAGAACTCAATGATTAATAGGACACATCAAAACACACCACCTTTTTGGCACAATGATTCTGAGCTCACATATAAATAGTCTCCTGTTCTGCAGGCAAACCCACAGAAGAGGGAGTCCCTCTCTGTTGGAGATCACTCCATTTTTCCATTAGAAAAGAGTAAATAGGGGGTTTTAATAGACTTTTGGCTTATGAACTATGAAACTCAATATATGTTCCAATTTGCAAAAACTGGAAACACAAAATAGGCCAATGGCCCAAGTCCAAGTGGACTCAGTTTTACAGAGTCAAAAACTAAAAAGCACAAAAAACAGTAAGAAAACTCTCATTAAAATTACCAAAAGCAAGAGATATTAGAATTGAATGTTTTACTCATTGAACTCATCATTTTTCACTTCCTTTAATTGTCAATCTCACCTCAAAGACTGAATCCACTTTAAAATGATCAAAAACGATTTGTTGGAAATGTATAAGACTGAATAGTGGTCTTGCCCACATGTATATTGTAAAAACATTCATTGCAATCAGCCTCATAAGAGCAATGTTAACAGACCAATAAACACAGAAGTCAATAGCTACATTTTTCATGCATTTGACATTTTCTGGGTGGATACAAGCTATGCACAAAATATTGTGCTTACAAACTATGTTCAAATACTATTTACAAAACCAGTAGCTACGAGTTAAAGTGGGAATGTTGGGTTAAATGTTTACCTAAATATATTATTTGAGGACTCAAAAGTTAAGTTATTCAACTTCAAGCAAAGACCGTCTTCTCAAATATAGAAAGCAAACGCTCTCTAGTTAAAGAAAGGGACATGTGAAAGTTTCATTGAGATCACAGCAGAAGACAGAAGCAAGCACTGTAAATGCACAGACAGAGGAAAGCTCTTAACACAGCGTGCCCTGTGTCCTGCCTTCAGGACCTCTGCTGCCAATAGTATGCAGAGGTGGGTTTGCATCACAGGGCAGTACCAGCGTGGTGAAGATTCTCTACCAATGCACTATGTAAATCATCTTGTTCTGAATCTCTCATATGAATTGGTCAAATCACAGGGCTACTGCATGAAGTCTACTTATACTATCTCCTACAGTATTTAATATTTTTTCTTCTTTAAATTTCCATGGCACTATTCTTTTGTATGCCTTTCCAGTTCTTTTTTTTTTTTTTTTTTCCTGAGACGGAGTCTCGCTCTGTCGCCCAGGCTGGAGTGCTGGAGTGCAGTGGTGCGATCTCGGCTCACCACAAGTTCTGCCTCCCGGGTTCACGCCATTCTCCTGCCTCAGCCTCCCGAGTAGCTGGGACTACAGGTGCCCGCCACCACGCCTGGCTAATTTTTTGTATTTTTTTTTAGTAGAGATGGGGTTTCATCATGTTAGCCAGAATGGTCTCGATTTCCTGACCTCATGATCTGCCCGCCTCGGCCTCCCAAAGTGCTGGGATTACAAGTGTGAGCCACCGCGCCCAGCCCACCTTTCTAGTTCTTGAATGACTACTTTTCCATCTCCCCTATAGCATGTTCTTGTACTTCACTCTTTAAATAAGAGGTCCTGCACCTCTAAGAATTCTATTATCTAGGCCAGATCTCCAGGCTCAATCTCTGTCCCAAGTTCCAGATCCAAATATCTAACTCTTTACTACACAACACCTTTTGGATGTCCCACAGGTACCAAAAATCAAATAGGACAAAAACCAAAGTCATCACCCACACCTTCAGAACCTGCTATCTCCTCGATGTCCCCTGCTTTGTCTATAATGCACCAACCGCTCAGAATTGCTAATCTAAAGTCTGAGGGGAGATCTGAGCTTCTTCCTTTCCTCTGTCTTCCAAAGAGAAGTCAAATGATTATAATGCTTCCTTCATCACGCAGCAGCCTTGGTTAAAACTTTCACTGTTGGCAGGGCCCGGTGGCTCACGCCTATAATCCCAGCACTTAGGGAGGCCTAGGCGGGTGGATCACGAGGTCAGGAGATCGAGACCATCCTGGCTAACATGGTGAAACCCCGTCTCTACTAAAAATACAAAAAAAATCAGCCGGGCGTGGTGTGGGCGCCTGTAGTCCCAGCTACTCGGGAGGCTGAGGCAGGAGAATGGTGTGAACCCGGGAGGCGGAGATTGCAGTGAGCCGAGATTGCGCCACTGCACTCCAGCCTGGGCGACAGAGCGAGACGCCATCTCAAAAAAAAAAAAAAAAAAAAAAAAACACCAAAAAAAAAAAACAAAAAAACTTTCACTGTTTTGTTTCTTTTCTATTTATGGAAATAATTTTTTGCCATCAGTTATTTGTCAGATATTTGCTAACTGAACAGTTATGAACTCTTTAAAAAGTGTCTATATTGGGAAAAACAGACAGGCAAATGTGAAATATTATAACCTTACTTTCAAGTGGTTTCTCTCTCAAACTTTCCCTAGCCTTCTATTCTATCCTTGACATTGTCAATATTCTTACCATGACCCTCCCCAATCTATTGAAAACTCTCAAATTATTCCTTATAATCTGTAAACCAGCTATAGATTCCTGAAAGGAATGTAAACAAATTTAAATAAAATACATTTAAATTTCTAAAAATGAATTTACGTTTTTTTAAAGTAAGAGACAAGTGAATTGCAAATTGCAATTTGAGACTCAAGCCCTGAAAAGAGAGGAACAGGGATGCCAAAACTCCGTGTAAATCAATGTTAGAAACAGGGGAATGGAGTGTGTCATCGCCCAGAAGCCATGAACAAAGGTCAACAGAAAAAAAGCCAAGTCAGAGCAAAAGTGAGCAAGCAAAGTAGCAAAGCAGAGCTCCAGTGGCAGAGACAGAGCTGTGGCATTTAATAGAGAAATAAGTCAAAGCAACTGGGGCATGATTTTGAGTGCCTGGAGTGGCATCATCAACATCCGGTAGGTACTAATGGGGGTTCCTTTGGAAGACTGGCCATTTTGCCAATATTTGTGGTCCTCAGTCTGTCTTAAAGGGGCCCTGATTTGCAAACTTCACAAAACATTCTACATAGCCACTATCTTTAAAAACAAAAACAAAGCCGGGTGTGGTGACTTATGGCTGTAATCCTAGCACTTTGGGAGGCCGAGGCGGGCAGATCATCTGAGGTCACGCATTCAAGACCAGCCTGGCCAACATGGTGAATCCCCGACTCTACGAGAAATACAAAAATTAGCCAGGCCTGGTGGCGTGTGCCTGTAGTCCCAGCTACTCGAGAGGCTGACGCATCAGAATCACCTGAACCCGGGAGGTTAAGGTTGCAGTGAACTAAGATGTGCCACTGCACTCCAGCCTGGGTGACAGAGTGAGACTCTGCCTCAAAACAAAATCAAAAACAAGGAAGCAAACAAAAACCTTGAAATGTAGAATTACAAGCATGGCTTGCTAGGCCCAATAGATTTTATTTTCCAGTTTGCTGGCTGGTAGTTAAAGCCAAGAAAATGGTGATAACCTCCAACAAGGCAAGCTCAGTTCATTTGTATTCTTAGCATCCTTAAACCCTTATAGTAAGTGACTGTACCTTCTATATGTCATGCAGTATTATACTGACATATTTTACTTACCTCTTTCATTAAATATAAGTTGCAGTATGTCAAGGACTATTTCTTTACATCAACACAGAATTGAAGAATTGAGAACATTACGAAAGTATTAAAATGAGAATAAGCTTAGAGGTAGATAATAAGAGTTTTTATTATAGATAATACTAAACTGAATTTATGTAGATAAATGGGAAAATTTCATTTTAGACAACTTGGTGATTCCATAAATCACTGAGATTTATTTAGGACACTAAAAATCACTCAGATTATTTAGGTCTATGCAAGGTACACCAAATAAGCACACCTCATAGGCAAACTTATTTTACTGACTGTTTTTCTAACTCATTAAAGACAGCCTGAGTCTCAAAGCCTAAAAATCTTCTAAGTATCTCTCAATAGATTCAACAATTTTTATTTTGCTATTTGCTTTATTTAAAAGTTAGTCATAATAGGTATTAAATAGTTTTATGAGGTTCTCTGCATTTGGACATAGGCCATATGTGGAAACTTGCCTTTATTCAAATGGACCTCTCTCTAAATAAGATCTATAAAAATGAAGATATTATTTACATTCACTAAAAATATTTTGATGGCAGTGAGAGATACTCAATACAAACAAACTTTAAGATGGCCCTTTTACTGGAAGGATATTGAGTATCTTGCAGAGCACCCAAGCTATAGGCAAATCAGGCAACCAATAAGTCCAGTAATTCCAATATCATCAGGATGATCATCTCTCTTCTCATCTCCACCTATGGGTCACCTTAACACCTCTCTCTCTCTCTCTTTCTCCTCACATCCACCTTTTCATTCTTTGCCTGGCATTCTCTCTCTCTCTCTCTCTCTCTTATTCTTTCTGTCTCCCTACTCCCACCTCCAGCAAGCCTAGGATCTGCTCACAAATGCTCAACTCTAAATATTAAAACTTTAGCCACAATAAATACATACAATAAGAAGAAAATACTAGAGAAAGAATGCGTCAACCAATCTGGGCCACGTGCCAATAACTAGACCAATTGATCTGAGGCCAAAAGAGTGGGATACTGTAATTTGTCCAGTTATAAACTAATCAACTATTGTGTAGTAAAATGGCATCTCTAGGGCAATGGAGTGGGGTAAGATACAGGGCCCAGAAGAAAAGTTAGGGCCGCTGAGCAGACAAACGAAAGTTCTGTATTTCCAGGAAGAAATTAGCATGTAACTTAATGGGTTTTTTAAAGCAGATTTTTTAAGCATTAAATGTGACATCCACATGTGCAGATCTTTTATAAATTGGTATTTAGTTACTTGAGCATAAATGTCAATAGTACAGGCTGAATAAAGTCCAGGCTGCTTAAAAGGCCTTCTGTCCTGTTCTATTTCCACTGCTATTTATTTAATATTCCCAGAATGGTAATAAAGCAAACAGTGGTATTTATCTTCTTTGTGTGAAATGAATTTTTGTCTGTTTTAAATATGTAGTGGTTTTCTTTAAAGTGGGATGTTCACACCATCACATTTGAATTGACCTTTATGAGTACGAATGATTGTTTCCTTCTATTGTTTAAAGCTATGCTTCAAAGAAATGGCAATATAGCAGCTACATGTTTAATATGATAATGACCTCATTTAGAATAATTTTTAGTGTGTAGTCTTGTTAAAATTCCATCCAAATTATGTAATATTTGTAGAAACCATTTTATGAAAATTTTAATAAGATAGTATACATTAAAAAAACTTTAAAAATCTATACAAAGGAAAATCACATTTCTCTACTATACTAACATGGATTTTAGTATGATCACTATAGTCCCAAAATATTCAAAAATAAACGATCACCACAAAAACAAGGGTTATAAAAAAATTAAATACGGAGTTAAAAATAATATTTTCTATTGTGCCCATAGAGCCCACACTTAAGAAATTATAGTGCTTCCAGCCTTTCCCCTTAATTATCCTGGAGAAGAGAGAAGCCACTATTTGATTTGGTTCCATGGACCCCTACGTGGACTTTTTGATAAAAAAAAAGTTATGAAACTATTTGATTTGATTTTAGGAGAAAACCCCAGTCTCCAACCTCAGCTTGCCTACCCAAGAAGGAAAAAGGGGGCTCAGAATGGGGCAGGAATTTCCTGTCCAGGTCCGTCTTTCACTACCTTTGAAACAGAGTTCAGCTCCAGGTCTGTTAGCTGATGACCCCTGATATAATACCCTGAGGCAAGATGTCCTTGTCGGCTGTGCACCTCACCTTCTGTAGGCTATGAGGCACCTTTGCTTAATAAACTTGTAAAACACTGACAAACCAAAGGCTTTTTCCAGAAACTAAAATATTAGTTCAAAGAGTTTTAACCTCTCAATCTTCTTTATCAAACTGTGTAAGCCATAGGAGGCAGGGGAAAATGGAAAGAAGTGCGCAGAAGAAAATCTCATTGCACCATCAAAACTATGTCAGAAGCTATCATTGACATCCTTGAGATAAGAGGCAGAAAACAAGATAAATAAGTTGTCAAAACAGACAAACAAAAGGAAATTGAAAGGGAAGACAAAGGGCAAAGAAGAAAGGAGTGAAAACAAAAGAGCAAAAAAGCTTATCAATCATAAGAAAGCTCATCCCTCTCAACAAAGGGAGGAGGCATGATGCAAGTTAAGGAAAACTAATATTAATCATACTAAGCCAGTGCATGGCATACTTATTATCCATGTCATTTATGCCATGGGGAAAGAATAAGAGTAAATAGTATACAAGTTAACTCATTATTGATAAAGCATGAAAAGTATTGGCTTTTGAAAATAAATTATATTGTCCATCTCTTGTGGGCTTTTAAAAATATTCCTCTATTTAAAAAATGGTTTCAGTTCAGTTTTTAGTATCCAGTGAGCCCTCTGTAGCTAGCTCAACTTATAAAGTTTAAACTATTATCTTGTCAGTTATAGTTTCTGTCATTGTCATGCACATAGGACTGTGGAATAAAAAGAAAAACTAAAATGAGTTAAGTTTAAATGTGAACATGAACTATCATTTTCTTTTTTCAAGTAGAATCTTGATGAGTAACTCACTGTCAAAACAATGCATAGAAACATGAGGAAACTGTCAAATTAAAAGAAAATTAGTATAATAAATGCATAAAAATAGACTATGATGTGAATAATTCTGTGGAGAATAAAAAGCAATAAAGATAAGTTTCAATACAGTATCCAGTTAATTTTTAAGAGCAGAAGGAAAAACAGGTTAGAAAACACGCATAGGAATAAGGACATTCTTTTTAAGCCTTCCATAATAGCTCTCCTGAGAAATAGTTTTTAATTATCATATATGATACAAATGAGCATTGACCATCCACTGGAGAGCAGAATCCTCATCCATAAATATAAATTAGTTTTAACAGGCAACTACATTTTGCTACTATCACAAAAGACTATTTTCTAATTATGTATTTGTGCTAGTCAATTTGTCATAGATGACTGTGGACTTCAACCTAAGAGAGTATTTTTTTATTAATAGATTATCTTAAGCATTAGCTGAAGTGTTTGTTAGTTTTCCATTTTAAAATATTTCTCCCTGTTGATATCTTTTTTTGCCCCCTTTGATAGAAAAAGTGGTTATACTTAAGGCCTGGAATAATTATAAGGGAATGGAAAGAAATTGGACACCTCATATTTTTCTAAAAAATTTGTTTAATAATTTAACACATGTGTTTTTTGAGATTTCTAAATTGCTATGGTTAAAAAAGTAATAGAAATAACTTAATTATATAATGGTCCTCCACTATGGTAGGTCTTTGGATATGCATGACTGTAAACGTCTGCAGTAAAGAGACAATTAATTGGAGAATTAGTAATTCTCCACAGAATTATTCACACATGGTAGTGTAGTGAGTTACCATGATGAATCTGGACTGAGAACGCAGTAAAAATTCCCAGATAAGCCCAATTGCCTAAATAAGCCTTTGAAAAGTATTGTTTGTTTTAAAGCATCAGCCTGAGCAATGTCAAATTCTCACAGATAACAGAATATATACTTTAAGTGAATGAACATATAACCATACACAAAAATAAGATAAGAAACCCTTCATGTATCAGAAACCATGGAGAATTCCTGAGATGGTACAACGATGGGAACAAAAGAAAGAAGGAGAGTGTAACAAAGGAAATACCAGGGATAATGCCACCCAAAAGACTGAGGGCTCCACCATGACCCTCCAGGCCTGAGAGAAGGGGAGCCTGTGCACCGGGGACATCCCAGGAACAACAGAGAAGTCCACCACCCTGCAGCTGCCCGCTTCCAGGGAGCAAGGTAGGACGTGGAAGGAGACAGTATGGGAGTTTATGTTAAAGAGATCACACAGCTGCAGGGGGCTGTCCATCTCTGGAGACAACAAGAAAAACAATCTCTAAGCAAACACATGTTTCCTTAAATTTAACTAAAGACACAGTAGAGTACAAAATAAGCCTTAGTAAAAGTTCCCAACATTTCTGCCAAGCAGGTTGTGCAAATGAATGCAGCAGAAATTCTAACAAGTAATCTTAGATACAAATATACACACTCATGAATCACATCACCAAAGAAATAAAGCAACACAATGAAAGAGAAATAAATTCAACCAACAAAACAATTTACATGTGAGGTAATAGTGTTGATAAAAACAATCTAAAAGAGACTTTTAAATATTCCCAGAAAAATAAGGGAAATAAGTTTACTTATAAAATGAAAATAGGCTGTCATTAAAAAAAAAGAATCAATCAGCCTTACTTCCCAAGGGGAACAAATCCAAGCACTAACTCTAAATCAGTTCATAACTGATTCCTTTAAACTTACATGTTAGTTTTAGTCCAGGAAGTTTCCTAAATTTTCACAGGCTTGATGTCTCCCTCCTTCCTCCCTTCCTTCTTCCCTCCCTCCCTCCCACCCTCCTTCCTTTCTTTCTCTTTCTTTTTCTTTCTTTCCTTCCTTCCTTCTTTCCTTCTTTTCTTCTTTCCTTCTTTTCTTTTTTTCTTTCTCTCTCTTTCTTTTCCCTCCATCCCTCTCTTCCTTCCCTCCTTCCTTCTCTCCTTCTTTCCTTTCTTTCATTAGTCTCCCTCTTTAAAATGTCATATAGCTTCCCACTATCATCTTCAATAATAGCATAGCATTACATCCCTGGTGTCATACCTACTTTTTTTATTACCAGCAGCCAAATGCTTAACACTTCACCTACACAGATGGTCAAATGAGTCACTCTATTTGTAAAGGTCTAAAAGCATATACATAAAATACTAAGTCTTGATTGCTTATCTCAGGCTGAATTTCTATTTCATTTTTTTATAGATGAGAGACATACAAAATATTTTTCAATAACTATTTTCTGAGAAAACAGCCATACCCAGCCCTTAGCCAAATCATTTCCTCTATTATGAAGAAATGCTAAAGGCAATGCAGTCCAGCTCAGCAATTCTACTTTTCATAGGAGTCAACATTCTGAATGTATTTGTTACATTAAGAAAGGAAACAGAGACTATCAATCAGACTTTCAGATCCTGTTTTAATCAGAACCCATTCAGGAAACAGTCTGAAAAGCCAGAACTTTCAATGCCCCTGTTCAAGAAGGTTTTTTTCTAACTGATTTGCAGCCCACAGAGGAAGAACAAATACTGTCGATGCTTTCTATTTAATTTGGTATAAGTTCATAAAACAAATTGCCCAGATAATTGGACATGTCTTCAATTCTACACTACATTTTCCATAGATGTAAACCAGATTTATAACTTAGAAGTGCAGCAATAAAAGTGCATAGCTTGTAACAGACTTGTGCCAAGTCTTATGTCAAAGTGAAATAAAAAATGAGACAGACCACTTTGAGTAATCAAATCTGTCAGCTCAGTTAACTCCTTTTAAAGTAATGATGATAAACTCTAAAGTCTGCAAAACAAAACAAGTTTAATTATTTCTATTAGTACAAATATAGGTATGCAGGAAATAGATATTTTAAATAGATTTCCCAAAAATAAACTTATCACCCTAAATCCTTCAAATAATTTTTTCTTGCAGTTTTTTCTATTATTCCTTTTTTTTTTTTTTCCTTTGGAGAATTTAAAACCCACTCACACATGGAAACTACTATCTTGAGGCTAAATTCCCATTTTCCTCTGAGTTTTTCCACCCTTGCTGAAGTCAGAGTTGGCAATTATGCTTTTCTAGACTGGACCGTCTGGTCACCATTTGTCTGGTCCCTGGTCCAAAAAGGAAAAAAAAAAAGATCAACAATATTATGTTGGAAAACATAAGGTGGCTTTTAGGCACATCTGTTAGTCCTGTGATAACTAAATAAATCCAGTTATTATAAGCAAAGCTTAAACCTAAAGACGTCTTCTAATTGAATTCTTCCTTTTTGTGGTCAAGAAAAGGGAAGAACATTAATGGTAATAAAATAGGGAAAGCAGAATTTCCATCTGCAAAGACTTTCCTAAATCTATGTACTTCTTCAGGCTATTTGCCAAAGGCAACATTCCAGAGAAACTGAATTTAAATAATACCCCATTCCAGGAATGAGGAAAGCAGATACACGAATATGTGGAGATCAATTGGTATTAGTAACACATTTCCAGAATTTGAATTTTAAAAAGCCTTATTTATTTTAGAGAAATAAACCACTTTTCCCCCAAAAAAATCCCTCCTTGTATTAAAGTAAATTATTTTACTATTTATTGCTAAGGTATCTAATACTTCCCTCTGCTTCTTTTCTTCCTTCCTTATTTCAGTAATAGAAACATCCACCATTTGGCCAAACTAGAAACCAAGGTTATCATTCTTGAATCAAATTAAAGATAAATACTTCATAGCTCTAACTTTTAAATATTTCTCAAAATAATTATTTTCTCTCTTATTACAATTACTGCTTACTTCCCTGTCTGCCTAAATGCTCTATTTCTTTTACCACAACACTTAACATCTCATCTCTATAAAAACATCGCATGGCAGTTCTATTGTTATATGTTCTTGAATATGCCTTCTCCAAGTTTGAGCTCTTGAAGGAGGAGGATCATGTGTTTTTCATCTGCAATGTCCTAACACCCAGCTGATAAAAAAAAAACACTAAGTTATTATTTGTAAAAACACTAAGTAATTATTTGTAAAAATTATTGATGAACAAATCAATGAATGAATGATAGACACATTACTGACTTAAGTAGTGAAATCTCTGTTTCAACTGTGGTCAACATATGTAATTTTTACCTTATTAGGTCAAATGGAATTGAACAATTGGACCAATTTTGACAAATTTGCTAAAATGCATTCAGTGTCTCTTGAAGTTGAGTTCACGTGTAGGCACAATAAAAGAGTCCCATTGTTTTTTTTAATTGGCATAGATTTTTTTTTTCTTATAGTTCGTTCTGCATTGCACTGTTTTCTTAGATTTTTGTGTAACCCTTTTTGAATATTTTTAATTGTTTTGTCTTGTTTTTTCTCTTGGTTTTAAAATTCAGAACTGAATGTAACTGTAAATATATCTTTCATTTTCTTTATAATTTATCTAGTGGATTTACATGCCATTGAGCACTTAATAAATTTATATGCTAATTTTAGAGCATATATTTGGAAATAGAACCAAAGACAAGTTGCATAAAATGCCACTTTCTACAAAGACAAATGGCATAAAAAATATATGGACTTTTTTGGGGGGAAGTATTCATGTAAATTTTTTAAGGAAATTAATGCAATCTGCTCATTAGGGGAAAGCCTATTTGAAATAAATTTTTTTTTCTCTAACCTCATATTTAGTTTTGTGTGTGTGTGTGTGTGTGTTTCAGTGAGCCCTTATTTGGGCACATATCCCATTAACTGAAATAAGGGTGGTTAGCCCTCAGGGGAGCTCTGTTGCCTTCTTCAATTTCTTCTGCCATATAGAAGTCCTCTATAAAAACCACTCCATGACGTGGACTATTTTAACTCTTACATACAAGTTATGCAAACCTTAAACTGCATCTTACAAGAATGGAGGCAGCTCTTCAATCCTAATTTACATGTTGTTTACTCTTTTCTACTATCATATTGCTTTGGAACCATATTTATATCACTAGATACAGATTTTCTCATCTTCTTTGCCTGGGTTTTAACATTTACTATTATGTTCACTTCTTTAACTCAGCATTTATTTTTTGAAATTATGAAATATTTAAACAAACTCTGGAAAATGAGCAGCAGTCATGTTTCAGAAGCTTGCTCTTTTCTCTTTTTTGTTAGTATTTCCACTACAGAATGAGCAACTCACTCCAACTAACTCTCCTCACAACTAGTGCTCTGTTTCTAATCTGAATTCACATTAGAACTCCAAATCCACTCTTATTGGTGGCAAGACTGATTCCTTTACTCTCTCACCTCACATATGAAGGTTGTTACAAAGTTGATGAGGATAATCAAGTCATACTGGAAAGAATGTTTTGGACTGTGAATATGCAGCTGCAATGAGGATATATTTTGGCACTTCCAGCATTATAAAAGCTAGAATGATTAATAAGAAGTATGGAATTGATCTACTGAGAATACTGTAATCCCTTCATGGTTATTAAGAGATGTGTGAAGCACATAAAAACAAATGTAGATTGTTACTAAAAGGATTCATGATTTAATTTTATCCCCTTTAAAAATATATTTTTTGAAATTTTACAAAAAATTCTAAAGTTGTGACTTCCACGCTTAGATCAGTGTTTTTAAATAATGCCATATCTTAATAGGTTGCAACAAAAATTATATATTCCAAGTACTCTAAATTGTACAGTAGAATCAACACACACAGTTACTTCTGTTTCCTCCTGACACCTCCCTAAAATAATAAAGTGGATTTTTAAGGCATTAAACCACAAATACAAGCGTCATGTTAGAAAAGACAACAGCAGTGCACATTCGGAAGCTAGAAAGCAAGCAAATAGACAAATAGCAACTTAGCCTTGAAAAAGGTGAATCCCAAGATAGCCGTGGAGACAGTCTAGAAGCAGAAGAAAAATGATTTACACTGCAAAACTCAGAAATCCCCCAGAACTGACAGCACCAGATATTCACAAACCTGAAAATAAATTATGGTTAAAATTTATCAGGATTGTTGAACATCTGCAAACATCTGCAAACAGAGAATAAGATGCCTAACTACACCACAGCTAGGCAACTTCTTCTGCAGAAGGCTGAAGTTTACCTTCCATAGAGGATGAGTTAGAGGGATGCTGAACTACAGAACAAAGGGCATACGAAGGGCACATTAATTTTAATCAGCTACATGCGGAACCATGAGAGCTCTCCGATCCTTCCTCTTACATAATGTTAAGAATACTAGCAGTCAGCATCAGACCCTCCTGGTAGGAGGTTAGATAATTCTTCAACGGGAAGTCTAACCAGACTAAGAGAAAACATGTGAAAAACACTAGCAGTTAGGAGTTCACAGCAAACAGCAGGGCCAGATCACCTAACAGAGAGGCATACCAGTTGACAACCCTAGAGCTTCTAATCAGATATTTAATGACTCATTCTTAAGTGTTTATGGGTGGCCAAGGATCTTAGTACATTTCAGGAAAGCCTCTAACATGAAGGACACAGACCAAACAGAAATAACAAATTTGGATAAAATAGAGTAATGAAAGCTGAAGGCTTTACACATGTGTATATG